>NC_000001.11:211366405-211517920 GCF_000001405.40 Homo sapiens | reverse complement strand
TGACCACCTGGGCTGGTTCACTACCACCACACCTGGGAGTGAGAGAAGCCCACCTTCTCCCACTGGCTCAGCCACTCAATTGCCTGGAAGGCATTGTCAGGCAAGGGTGGCCTGCATCTCTACCTCAGCAAAAGCCTCCAGGAAGCCAAAATTAAAAGCGAGGCCAGACCAGGCAACAGTGGCTCACGCCTGTAATCCCAACACTTTGGGAGGCCGAGGCCGGAGGATTACTTGAGCTCAGGAGTTTGAGACCAGCCTAGGCAACATAGTGATCTGGAGTCCATCCAGGTCCCAGAAGGTGATGAGGTGGTGGAGAGTGATACTTGGAACCCATCTCAGTAAAAATCGTAATAATTTTTAAAAGAGAGAAAGAAGAGTGAGGCTGGTTCCTGCTGTACCCTGGAAGTGGTTTTTTCCAGGCGCCTCTTTTTCCAAATTATCAGTTTGAGGCTGAGAGGGCAGGTAAGGGAGAAAGTGACAGTGAGCTAGGCATGGGGAAGTGGCAGCAGGTTGAAGCAGGATCCTGAGAAGACAGCACGGAGGGGCCCTGAGCTGGCTGGGCAGGTGTGGGGCTAGGAAGCCACACCCAGCTCAGTAATTCCCAGGGAGCTTCTGGGAGAACCTGGGCTCAACAGGGAGATCACAGGGCCTGCTGAGGCCATATGGGTGAGGCCTCGCCCTTCTTCCTGCTTCCTCCACCATGCAGTTCCTGCCTCTCCTCCCCCTTCACCTTGCATCCCTCCTCCTCTGCAGCAGCCCTCCTGCTCACACAGTTTAAGAAAGGCTGGTGCTAAGCCTGTGTGCACCACAGGTGGCGTCATGGGCAGGGTCTTTCATGATTTTTCTGCTGCCACTGAGAAGACGGATCATCATCTTTCAGGCAAGTTTGTAATAAACATTTAACGAATGAATGGGTTAGTGATGAACATTCGTTATCTAATTTGAACCCTTTACCAACCCTTTGAGGTAGTCCACACAGTTCCTATTAGTGCTGTTTACAGCTGGGGAAACTGAGACTCAGAGAAATTATGTGTCATCACGTAGGTATGCAGTGACCAGCTGGACTCAGAACCCATGACCCTAGTTCTTGCACTAATGTCCACTGCCTGTCTCTTTCACCCACCTGCACCCTCACAGCTACTCCTTGGGGTTCAGAGGGGGATGACTGGGGCGGGAATAGCAAGGACACAGGCATCATGGGGGCAGATTTGACCACACTGGCTCTGGGCTGTCAAGACAGCCAATCTGGGCTGCTGTCTCTGGCTGCTGTTATGGCTTCATTCCCGGGGCCACTCCACTTAATACAGGGACAGTACTTCAGGTCCGTCTGCCCAGTGCAGTCACATCAGGAGCACCACGGCAGCCGAAGTGAAACCTGGCCAGTCATAGGCAATAACCTTTGACCTGCTGGCAGGTGGGTGTTAGGTTAAATGTTAAGTGACCGGCCGGTCACGGTGGCTCATGCCTGTAATCCCAGCATTTTGGGAGGCTGAGGAGGGCGGATCACCTGAGGTCGGGAGTTCAAGACCAGCCTGACCAACATGGAGAAACCCCATCTATACAAAAAATACGAAATTAGCCAGGCGTGGTGGTGCATGCCTGTAATCCCAGCCACTGGGGAGGCTGAGGCAGGAGAATCGCTGGAACCCGGGAGGCGGAGGCTGCGGTGAGCCGAGATAGCGCCGTTGCACTCCAGCCTGGGCAACAAGAGCGAAACTCCGTCTTTAAAAAAAATTGTTAAGTGACCTCAACTATGTGGCCATGGGGAATTAGAGAGAGTAGAATAGAATCCCCTGTGGGTTGCAAGTGGGAGATGCTGGGATTTTTGAGCATCTTTACTGGTGATCCCTACGGCTGAATTAGGAGAGCTCTCCTGGCACCCGGGAAAGCTTTAACCTCTGGAGTGGCCTTCACAGGAGACAGCCTCAGGATGCTGGGAGAGCCCCTGACCCTCCACAACCTACTACCAATTCCTGCGCGCCGTTCCTTGGGCATGAGGTCCTGAACCTGGTGGAGGAAGGGTAGCAATGCCTTCCATTGTATTGGTTACATGCTTCTTACAGTCAATTAATTGGTTCGATCTTTTCCAGACAGTGCCGGGCTAGAGGCTGACCTTCCCCACTCCCGACCTTGGCTTCTTGAATAACCTCACAGGCCACGGGGCATGCGGGGTGCGCGTGCGTGGCTGGGCCGGCGTAGTCAGCCGGGCGGGAAGGTTTACGGCTTTGGGGAGGCGCCGCCTTGCCGCCCTGACACCGCCCCGCCAGGCCAGCCCGCCGCTCGGTGGCCCCGCCGGCTTCCCGCGGTCGGGACGGGCGCCCCCTGCTGATTGTGGGCGGCGGCGCACCGAGGAGCGGCCCCTGGGAAGCCCAAGACCTCGCCGCGGCTCGAACCCCGCGACCCTCGGCCCGGAGGGAGGTCCTGGCTGCGGGGAGCTGCCCAGACCGCGGTGACTCAGCTAGGTGGCACCGGGAGAGCTGAAGCGGGCGCCCCGCTGGGCCTGGCCACAGGACGGTTAATGATTAATGTTCCATACCGGGTGGAGACGTCGAAGGGGAGGGAGGCCCAGGGGCGCGTCTTGGCCCTGGCTGTGCCTGCAGGAAGCAGAGGCCCAGACGGGGAGAGACTCAGGCCTGGGCTGAGGCGGCTGGGGGCAGGGGAAGGAGCAAGCCGTGAACTCTCTCCTCTTCCCACCCCGCACGCCGCCCCCGTTCTCGATGCCCTTCTCCCCTGCCCCGGGAGCCTCCAGGCGCCGCGCTCCTCCTCCCTGCCTTACCAAATGCCCATCCGTGCCCGCCTCGGTGCCAGGCACTGCAGGCCGCTTTCATATAAATGACTGATTGCCTCTTGCCCATTTTACAGATAAACGCAGAAAGCTCAGGTGATGTGCCCATGGGCTCTCAGCTCACAGGCAGAGTGGGGATTCGAACCCAGCCCCGGACACAGACCAGGTGTCCTTCTACTACCCCACCCATTGCTGCCCAACTCCAGAGACACCTACACCCCAATCTACCAACTTAACCACCTGGGCAGAGGAAATAAGAGGCGGTACTGCCCCCGCCTACAGGGATCGCAGCTCCATTCTCTGCCCTCATAACTCATTACCCTAATTTTAGTCAATCAGAAAATCGTGTCAGGGCTGGACGTCAAGCTACCAGGGATAATGGTTCCTGTTGTAAAATGCTCCTTTGAGCTGAAAGCAATCGTGAAGTGAGGCGCCCGGTTCAAGGAGTCAGCCTCCCGACTTGAGAAGCCAACTGTGGTGGTGCCACGAGGCTGCGATTCACAGGCTCCGGTGGAAAGACCAGGGAAGAAACTTATTTACAAAAATGAGAATAAAAAATATTCTGGGCCGGGTGCGATGAGCCATGCTTATAATTCCAGCGCTCTGGGAGGCCAAGGCGAGAGGATCACTTGAGCCCAGGAGTTGGAGGCTACAGCGAGCAGAGCACCACTGTACTCCAGCCTGGACAACAGAGATATTGTCTCTAACAAAAAGGGAGGTGGGGGGAGGAAATAGTATTCTAACACGAAGCTGCAGGTTCTGCACAACAAGTTTAGGTTTTCCTGTTCTCTCTAGGGTAAATGAGGCATGCAGGCGCCTGCACCCTCCGGGCAAGGACAAGGCGTGTGAGAGTCTCTGGGTCTGCCCCAGCGACGCCGTCGGGCCTCTGGGCGGTGCAGCCTGGTCCGGCATCATCCTGGACGCGCGGGTAATCAGGGCTGAGGGAGCCCAAGGTACATTCTGTCCCTCACCACAAGATGTCGCCGCTGCTAATGGTTAGAGGGCTCTCAGCAAGACCAACTCCCAACCCCAGACTCTGAGTCAGAAACTCTGGGGTTGGGGCCCAGCAATTCGTGTTTTTCACAGGCCCTCCAGGGGATTCTGAAACATGCTCAAATTTGAGAACCACTGGTAAAAGTCATCCTGCAGGTCTCACTGCCTCTGACGTCTACCCCTTCTGCTAGGTGGTCAGGGCAACTCAATCTGTTACCCACCTGGAGTCCCACCCCAGTGCCCAACTGGGGCAGGACCTGGGATCTCAGAGCTTCAGTTTTCTCAATTGCAAAATGGGGATAGTAGTACCCACCAGACAGGGCTGTCACGAGGCTAAAATGAGTGTCTGAGAATGCATTTGCAAAGGGTAAAACCCTACATAGTAAGGATATGTTGTGACTGTTGCTTTTATTTGGAGTGACAAGCTGTAAAGCGAGTTGAAGGCAGCTGGTTCTGAAGGTTCCATCCTCTCTCTTGTCTTCTCTCCAATGCTCCTATTTCTCTCCCCACCTAGAATCACCTTTAAGCCACCCAGGGAGAGGCATGTTCAATGCACCAGCTTGCAGCACAGAAACAGCTTAACTTTCATCTAGTATTTGCCATGTTCTAGACCTTGAGTGGAAGGCTTTAAGTGTGTTATTTTATTTAATCCTTACACAGCCCTATGAGGTTGACACTACAAAGGATGCTGATAAGGCAACTGATAAAACACAAAGAGATTAGATAATTTGCCTAAAGTCATGTGGCCAGCAAGCAATAGGGCTGGATTTGAACTTGGGCAGCCTAGCGTACATTCATGCTCTCAATGGCTCTACAGTGCTGCCTCCCCTAAAGCTTGTTTCCCAAACCCTGCATGGTGAGAAGCAGCATGGAACTGTGGAAAGAGCACTGGGTTGGGATTCAAGGTCCTGGTTTTGCCATTTTCTAGCTCTGTGATCATGAGCGAATCACTTAACCTTTCTGAAGTAGAGCCTTGGGAGGGTTACATTACGTATCACACAACAGAGTGTCTGGTATAAAGTAGGCGCTTCATATATTTACTGTGTCCAACAGCCTCCTCTTTCCTCAGTGTCCCCTCCCTCAATCAGGCAAAGATGATTCTGGGATCCAGAGGGACAAAATGTATGCCCTCTTTCCCCATCATGTCCCCGAAAGGCGCATGATGAGGCTGGAGTCAGGGCCAGGAGACAGGCTCCAATCCTGGCCCTTGCTCACGGCAGTCTCCCCAGGTGCCCTGCCTGCCAACATGGGGTCACTGGTATTCGGCTGCTCTACTGTTTCCCCCTTCGATGGCCCTGAACCTACAGCTGTCCAGGGAATGCATGGAGTTGGTCAGGGAGGCTCTGCCATGCCCAATAGCTAGCTGGCTTTCTCCAGCTCTCCTTCTGAAACCTGGCCAAGCCCCCTACCCCTTACTCAGCCCATTGACTCTTAAGCTCTCACTGGAGTGAGGTGGGATAGCCAGGAGAGTGTGCAATGTGGAGACACTGCAGATCTAAGTTTGAATCCTAGTTCTGTTTCTTACTAGACATTTAACTTGAATAAGTCCCTTTGACATGCCTCCTTTTTCTCATCTATTCTTTGGAAAGCTTTTTTTCTTTTTTCTTTTTTTTTTTTACAGAAATGGGAGTCTCGCCATGTTGCCCAGGTTGGTCTTGAACTCTTGAGCTCAAGCAATCCACCTGCCTTGGCCTCCCAAAGTGCTGGGATTATAGGCATGAGCCACTGTGCCCAGCCCTTTTTTTCTTTTTTAAACATTTTTCTACCCCCCAAAATGCAGAAAAATCATTTGGATTCCTATCCGTCCCCTTCACAATTGGGCTCTTTTTAAAATTCTATTTCAACTCTGTCCTGGAGCCTGTTCACCTAGAGGAAGCCCCTACACCTTTCCTTCCAAACCCCCTTGTAGAAGTGTGTAAGTGACTAACATGTTCCAACTTCCCAGGAAGGGGCAGAGTCATCATGCTCACCCTTGTACCAACAATGTGGTTTTCCGCATCACTCTGTCCAAGATCCACAAACTCTGGGAGAGTGTGTTCACTTGCCCAGGCTTGGCTTCACACCCACCCTTGGCTAGTAAGGAACAGGACATCTCGTTGACTAGAGTGTCAAGACTGTATACACAGGGGAAAGAAGTAATTCTCCAAGAGAAAATAAATCCGGAATAATAATAATTTTAGAAAAGTACACCTGGGCCAGGGGTGGTGGCTCACGCTTGTAATCCCAGCATTTTGGGAGTCCGAGGTGGGATCACTTGAGTCCAGGAGTTCAAGACCAGCCTGGACAACACAGTGAGACCTCGTCTCTACAAAAAAATTAAAAAATTAGCTGGGTGTGGTGGTGCGTGTCTGTAGGACCAGCTACTTAGGAGTCTGAGGTGAGAGGATCGTTTGAGCCTGGGAAGTGGAGACTCCAGTGCGCTGTGATCGTGCCTCTGTACTCAGCATGGGCAACAGAGTGAGACCCTGTCTCGAAAAGAAAAGAAAAGAGAAGAGAAGAGAAAAGAAAAGACAAGACCAGACCTCAGGGCAGAGGGGCAATCACACTTGCAAGGGTGGAACCCGTTATCCCCCAGCTGGTCGTCACATCTGGACTCTGTAGGCGAGTGCCCTCGTTCTGGGGGAAGTGCACGGTGGAGCATTTAGGGGCAATAGAGCATTTTGTCTGCAGCTTGCTCTCAAATCATTCAGAGTAAAGACCTACGATAACAATATATGTAAAACTAGAATGAAAGAGGGAGTGTGCAAATGAAATGTAACAGCTGGGGAATCTGAATGAAAAAGATATGGGAGTTCTTTTACTATTTTTGCCACTTTTAATTTGAAATTATTTTTAAAAAACATATTTGAAATTAAAAAAACAACAACAACAATGTATTGAGGCCTGGCATGGTGACTCACGCCTGTGATTCCAGCACTTTGGCAGGCCGAGGCGGGTAGGTCCCCTGAGGTCAAGAGTTCGAGACCAGCCTGGCCAGCATGGTGAAACCCCGTCTCCACTAAAAATACAAACATGTTGGTTATACAGTGTATATAATTATTATAACTGAGAGAACTGTACACTTAAAAATCTGTGCATTTTATTATGTGTAAATTATGCTTTGATTAAAAAGGACCTGTGGGAAATACAAGAGAAGCTAAACAAAGCTGGAAAGTAGTCCTTGAAGAAACCAGGAAAAATGTCAAACCTCTGTTGATTTTGATCAAGAAAAAACTGTCTAATATCTAACAGCCAATATCAGAAATGAAAAAGGGCATCCCTGTGGATAAAGTTGAATATAAAAAGATAATAAGAGAGGCCAGGCACGGTGGCTCACACTTGTAATCCCAGCACTTTGGGAGGCTGAGGTGGGTGGATCACTTGAAGACAGGAATTCGAGAGCAGCCTGGCCAACATGGTGAAACCGCATCTCTACCAAAAATACAAAAATTAGCCAGACATGGTGGTGGGCACATGTTATCCCAGCTACTCGGGAGGCTGAGGCAGGAGAATCACTTGGACCCCTGGGACAGAGGTTGCAGTGAGCTGAGATCATGCCACTATACTCCAGCCTGGGCAACAGAGCAAAACTCCATCTTAAAAAAAAAAATTTCATATATATTGAATTTATTGAATGTTGGGTACTAAGCATGTTGTGCAAATCTCCTTTAATTCTCATAGTAGCCTACAAGGTAGGTATTTTTATTATTGTTGTGGTTTACAGATGTGGTTTAAGACGTAGAAAGGTTAAAGGACTTGTGCAAGGTTTCACAGCTAGGAAGGAGAACTGGGTTTTGAAGCACAGCAGTTGGGTTCTGAGCCTGTAATATTATCCTGAGCTGATGGGTGGGGCTGATAGGTGACCCTATGGGTCATTGTTGTGCTTCTGGTGAGTTGCCGTGACACAGGAGAAGCACCTAGAAGCAGGATGGCACCAACTGAGAACTCATTAATTCAACAAACAGTTACTGGGGGCTTGCTGAGGGCCAGGCACTGCGATAAGTGCTCAGAAAACAATTGTAAGACACATACTGCTCAAGTTTGCATTCTAGTGCAAATAGAGACAAATATAATAAATAGAGATAATAAACACAAAAATAAATAGCAAATTCAGGCCGGGCGTCGTGGCTCACACTGTAATCCCAGCACTTTGGGAGGCCGAGGTGGGTGGATCATTTGAGGTCAGGAGTTTGAGACCAGCCTGGCCAACATGGTAAAACCCCACCTCTACTAAAAATACAAAAATTAGCCAGGCAAGGTAGTATGAACCTGTAGTCCCAGCTACTCAGGAGGTTTAGGCAGGAGAATCGCTTGCACCCTGGAGGTGGAAGTTGCAGTGAGCTGAGATCAAGCCACTGCACTCTAGCCTGGGCGACAGAGCAAGACTCTGTCTCGAAAAAATAAATAAAAACGAATAAATAAATAGCAACTTCAGATGCTGGAGTTATGAAGAAAATAAAACATCATAGGGATATGGGGGCAGCAGATGGATACCTAAGTTGGGGGAGTCAGAGGATGCCTCTCTGAGGAAGTGGCTTTTTCTCTGTTTTTTGAGCAGAGAGACTGAGGCCGCATTGGGCAGGTCTGGAGGAAGAGTGCCCAGGCTACAGGCACAACAAGAAGGGAAGCCCATAGGCAATGTGTCAAGAATAGACAATACTTTTTTTTTTTTGAGACAGAGTCGCTCTGTCGCTCAGGCTGGAATGCAGTGGCACAATCTCGGCTCATTGTAACCTCCGCCTCCCAGCTTCAAGCGATTCTCCTGCCTCAGCCTCCCAAGTAGCTGGGACTACAGACGTGCACCACCACACCCAGCTAATTTTTGTATTTTTAGTAGAGATGGGGTTTCACCATGTTGGCCAGGATGGTCTCAATCTCTTGACCTTGTGATCTGCCCCCCTCGGCCTCCCAAAGTATTGGGATTACAGGCGTGAGCCACCGCACCTGGCCAAGAATAGACAATACTTTCATTAATTTCAATACTTTCCACCAGCCCCAAGATGGAACTGGTGTTGGCACATCCCAGGGACAAGAAGAGACCAGTGAGGCTGGGCAGAGCCTACAGGAGAGCCAGCAGCCAGGGGGCCTCCGAGGGGTCCCCTCTCCCTGCCTTCCAAAAATAAAGCAAACTCCTTTCTCATCCTCCTTGCCCTTCACCTCCTCCTGCTTTGGGGATGATTCTGTACATTTCCTGGCTCCAACCCTATAATCCCTCCTCTTGGAACTAGGCCCCAATTTGCCCAGGAAAGTTATGAGTGGGTGGCCCAGTCAGGAGGAGGGAGTGAGCTGACCTATGTCACAGACCTACTGTCAGCTCTAGCCTGGCTCGTCTCCAGGCAGCCCCCAGCATCTTCCTGCCCAACAAGGAACAATTGTACTTTCTTTTTCTAGAAAGACTGTGGCAGATGGGGCAGGCTCCTGGGGAAAGTGGGGCTTGAAGAGACAAGAGTGTCTTCTCTTCTCCCACAGTCCCTGGGTCCAAGCCATGCCCTCAGCATCTGCTCAGCTGGGAGTACGTGTGTTGGGGTGAGGATGGAGTAGAGGGGTGTGCTGCTTTCCCTGCCCTGTAGCCTGCAACTAAATAATGAATGTCCCCAACTGTGTTAGTACTCTGTTGTTGCATAACAAGAGTATCACAGACTTAGCAGCTTAAAACTACACATGTGGCCAGGTGCAGTGGCTCATGTCTGTAATCTCAGCACTTTGGGAGGCTAAGGTAAGCGTATCACCTGAGATCAGGAGTTTGAGACCAGCCTGGTTCAACATGGTGAAACCCCGTCTCTACTAAAAATACAAAATTAGCCAGGTGTGGTGTTGGGCGCCTGTAATCCCAGCAACTCAGGAGGCTGAGGCAGGAGAATCACTTGAACCCAGGAGGTGGAGGTTGCAGTGAGCCGAGATTGCACCATTACACTCCAGCCTGGGCAAAAAGAGCAAAACTCCGTCTCAAAAACAAACAAACAAAACTACACATGTCATTATCTAATGGTTTCTGTGGTCAACAGTCTAGACACAGCTTAACTGGGTCCTCTCCTTTGAATCTCACAAAGCTAACATCAAGGTGTCAGCTGGGAGGTGCTCTCATCTGGAAGCTATACTGGGGAAGCATCTGCTTCGAAGCTCACTTGGGTTGTTAGCAGAATTCATTTATTTGAGGTTATAGACTGAGGGTCCTGGTTCTTGCTGGCTGGAGGCTGAAGGTCACCATCAGCTCCTAGAGGCTGTCTACATTTTTGGGAGGCTTTCCACAGATCCTTGCTATGTATGTCTCCCCAACATGACTGGCTACTTCATCGAACCAGCAAGGAGAGTCTCTAGAGCAAGCTGGCTAGCAAGATGGAATCTTATATAACAATGTAATTAAAGGAGTGACAATCTATTACCTTTGCCATATTCTGTTGGTTAGAAGCAAGTCATGGTTCCTACCCACACTCTATTTCTATATATATCCCATTGTCATTAGTCTTTTTCTGAATGATTTGAGAGCAAGGTGAAGACAAAATACCTCATAGCCCTTAAATACTCAAGTGTGTACTTCTCCCCAAAAGAAGGGCACTCTCCTGCAAGACCATACACAACGCAATCTTCCAAGTTAAAAAATCAACAGTGATTCAGCATTATCATCTGATCTGTAGACCCTAGAAGTCTTTGATGGTTTCCTTGCTATGTAATAGATGATGTTCCAGGTTTGCCTTGTACATTTCTGCCCATACCTGAAGTCAGTCTCTTCCCCAAAAAACTGTCATGACTTTTAGGAATAAATGGCATTTCAAGACCTCAGTCTGGGCCCTTAACATCCTTTTATTTTATTTTATTTTATTTTGTTTTGTTTTTTTGAGATGGAGTCTTGCTCTGTCACCTAGGTTGGAGTGCAGTGGCGCTATCTCAGCTCACTGCAATCTCTGCTTCCCAGGTTCAAGCATTTCTCTTGCCTCAACCTCCCAAGTAGCTGGGATTACAGGCATTCACCACCATGCCCAGCTAATTTTTTTTTTTTTTTTTTTTTTTTTTTTTTTTGAGACGGAGTCTCGCTGTGTCACCCAGGCTGGAGTGCAGTGGCACGATCTCGGCTCACTGCAAGCTCCGCCTCCCGGGTTCACGCCATTCTCCTGCCTCAGCCTCTAGAGTTGCTGGGACTACAGGCGCCTGCCACCACGCCTGGCTAATTTTTTTGCATTTTTAGTAGAGACGGGGTTTCACCGTGTTAGTCAGGATGGTCTCAATCTCCTGACCTCGTGATGTGCCCACCTCGGCCTCCCAAAGTGCTGGGATTACAGGTGTGAGCCACCGCGTCTGGCCTAATTTTTATATTTTCAGTAGAGATGGGGTTTCACCATGTTGGCCAGGCTGGTCTCGAACTCCTGACCTCAAGTGGTCTGCCTACCTCGGCCTCCCAAAGTGCTGACATTACAGGTGTAAGCCACCGCACCTGGCCACATCCATTTAAAAAAAATTTAATTTGATCTTGTATTACACATATTTTTAAATGTAAGTAAATACTTTTAAAAACATTTTTTATTTGATTGTTCCTTGGAGAGCAGAACTAGCCCATAGGCAGTGCGTTCAGAGTAGCCAGTACTTTCATTAATGTATCATAATGCCTATTAGGCATCAGGGAGTTTTTTGGAAGAAGGTGGATTATAAACTAGAATAATTTAATACCACCAATTTCAGGACCCTAAAGAAGTGAGGGAGGGTTTGTGGGTCCCTGCCAGGCCCTTGTGCAGTGAGGCCTCAGTGGATCCTGAGGGTCAGAGGGGCTGTTGCACGTGATATGTAGAATAACCTGGTCTCCCAGCTGGAGCCCAAAGCTTGAGCATCTTTGTATCTGTTTGGCTGGTGAGGAAGAGATGTTTGAGTGGAAAATGGGGCCAGGTAATGAGGGCAGGTGACTTCTGTTGCCATGTTTACCAGCTCAGGTGCCTTTGGGGACTGAGGGCCAGGCAAGAGACGCACAGCTGAGCCTTCTGAACAGCAGCGATAGGCTCTCCCTCAGGTGTGCTCCGTGACACCTGACTTCCACATAAACAGGTAAGAGTCTCAGGGGTCAACAGATCAATCTGAGCAGTGCAATTGACCCTGCTCTGCCCCCAGGCCCTCAAACACAGGAGCTGGGGGTGGTTGAGTTTGCTCCAGTGAGCTATGATCAAGGAAGAGCTATGGATGTAGGAGGTGAAGCACCAATAGGATCCTGATGTGAGGGGGGTGCTGTCCCCCAGAGTCCATTCTTGGTTGACTCAGGTGCCCACTGGGCAGTTCTGTGGACAACAGGGCTCCAGGTCAGGGTGCATGGGGGTGGGTGTGTGCCAAAGGATGGCTCCATTTCTCAAAAGGAATGTAAATGGAGCCCTGGCCACAGGTCCAAACTCCATAAGAACAAGGCTTTCTCCTCTGTTCCATCAGCCCCTGGGGATGTCTGTCTACCTGCACCAGATTCACAGGTGATGGCTCCGGGTCCCTGGTGTTACACCAAGGACCTGGCCTTTAGGATCTGCCAGTTTTAGCTCCAATATATCCAACAATGACTCCCTGAACTTCAGTTTCCTCCTTGACAAAATAAGGATAGTAAGAACACCAGCATGGGGTTACTGTGAGAGCTAAATGGGTTGGTGTGTGCCAGTGGCCTTGCAGAGGGTCTCAGAAAGAATTTGGCCCTTTCCTCTCTCTTCCCATTAGAGAAACCGAGCACCTATGTAAATGACATGAGTGTCTGTGGAGAGGTTGTAGACTCACCTTCAGGAGCCACAAGGCTCCTAGATGTGTGAAGTAGTAGGTATGAGAAGATAAGGAGGGGACAAAGCAGAGACAGCATCCCAAGGGCATTCAAAATAGAAACCTTCAAAGCTATGCTGGCCAAACAGCCCAGGAAGTGGCCGCCAGCTTCACTCTGTGTCCCTACATTTATGTCCCCACATTGCTGGGCTTGCACAAGCAAATAAGAGCCTGGGTGGACAACAGTGGAAGCATATTAAACATTCGGTAGGCTGGGCACGGTGGCTCACGCCTGTAATCCCAGCACTTTGGGAGGCCGAGACGGGCGGATCAGGAGGTCAGGAGATTGAGACCATCCTGGCTAACACGGTGAAACCCCGTCTCTACTAAAAATACAAAAAATTAGCCAGGCATGGTGGCGGGCGCCTGTAGTCCCAGCTACTTGGGAGGCTGAGGCAGGAGAATGGTGTGCACCCGGGAGGCAGAGCTTGCAGTGAGCCAAGATAGCGCCACTGCACTCCGGTCTGGGTGAAAGAGCGAGACTCCATCTCAAAAAAAAAAAAAAAAAAAAGAGCCAGGGTGAATAGCTCCCCAATATTCGAGAGGATACTGGGGATATGTCCTAGCCTCTCCTGCCCCATTTCTCACAGCGCACCCAGATTGGACCCTTAAAATAGCATTTCAGGTCGGGCGTGGTGGCTCACGCCTATAATCCCAGCACTTTGGGAGGTCGAGGTGGGTGGATCACTTGGGACCAGGAGTTCCAGACCAGACTGGCCAATATGGCGAAACCCTGTCTCTACTAAAAATACAAAAATTAGCCGTGTATGGTTGTGCGTGCCTGTAATCCCAGCTACTCGGGAGGCTGAGACATGAGAGTTACTTGAGCCCAGTAGGTGGAGGTTGCAGTGAGCTGAGATCGCACCACTGCACTCCAGCCTGGATGATAGAGCAAGACTCTGTCTTAAGCAAACAAACAACAACAACAACAACACAACATTTCTCCAGCCAGAGAGCAAAGCCTCTTTCTGGATGTACACTGTCCGAGGCCTCAGAGCTTGGTCTGGGGGTTTGGTGGGTGGTGGGGACCTTGACTCAGCCTCTCTCCACAGCCAGAAGCCTGCCTGGGGGACAGGTCTGGCTCTCCTCCAGGGGGACCTTGTTCTGAGATCCCATGCAGATCCTGGGGAAAGGGATAGAGAGGGACTGAGGGAGCCGTTCTTCCTGCTGCCTCTCCTAGAGGTAAGGTCTAAACTGTTGGGGTAGCTTTTGTTAGGACTAAGAAGACAGAGGCTATGGGTTCTGCCCCTGAGCATCCCAATGCAGCCACACGAAGAACTAATTCTGGGGTACCCAAAACTGCACCTAGCTGCTGCTTATTTAGGGGATATTCTGAGCAGGGCACTGGACAAGATGCTTCCCAGACTTATCTCCTTTAATGCTCACAACAACCCTACAAAGGAAGGTATTATTACCTCCAAATTATAGCTGAGGTTCAGAGAAGTTGGGACACAAACCTAGAATCACACGGCAAACATATGCTAAATCTAGATTTGAACTCAAAGAGGTGGGTCTCCGAAGAGCCCCACTCTGTATCTGTAAGGCCTTCTGCCTCTACGCCAGGCTCCCACAAGGGTGAGAACTGCTCTGTGCAACACTTCCCAGATATCAAGGAGCAAACAGTTCCTGAGGCTTCCTGAACTCAGAGGGTAAGCCAGGAGAGGGCAGGAGCTGTGTTCCACAGATTAGATTAGTTATTCACAGCTCCAGCACCACAGGAATTTACCCTGCCCTCCTCACTGGGCTCTGGGGCGGGAAGATGAGTGTTCGTGAATGAAATGGACCAAAAGATGTGAAAGTGCTCTGTAAGTTGGTGGCTGCTGTGCAAATGCAAGATGATTGCAATTTATGTTTCCTCATAGGCACAGCGACTGGACTGATAAATTACGAAGTTGGATTTGCAGAGGGTTAAACACTTCTTTGGTGAAGTAATTAAACAGATAGGTCAGGTTCCAGAAGTATGGTTGTATAGAACTTTTTCTCCTCCAGTACAGTGAATACCAAATACTTTGCGTTAATAGTTACACTTTCCCCAGGAGATGTTTCCCAACTTTAAATCCAAGAAGAGGCTTTTGTACTTGCAGATTTAAGCATTATGTGTTGTGTCCTTTTTGGCTTGTTAAGAAAACCACAATAGGCAGGGAGTTCAAATTGCTCTACCCTTTGAAGAAACGTACAAGTTCAAAAGAAACTGATTTTCTCTGAGCTTCATATATGTCAAGAAAATAGGCGAACTCTGGAAGTGGGGAAGCTGCCAGCTAGAAGGTAAATGAATAAACTCCTCTATTCCTTGCAGAGTCCTTTTTATATTATACTCTGGATTTAAAAAAAAAAATAATTTGAACATTTGAAAAGGATCCCAGCACACATGCAGTCATTTTTCCACCTGGGGTAATAAGTTAATTCCACCATGACAAAAATGTTTTCTTCTGTGACCCTTTCCTCCCTGGCTCTGTCCACCTGCATACAGTGGGTGCACCATGGGGGTTCTGCTGTTTTTCACAGGATGGGAAGCTAGAAGCCAGTTTTGTCACAAGTATTGTCTCGTGGCTGCATAGTCTGGGATATTGATGCACTGTACTTTCTACGTGGTTCCTCCATTGTTGGACAAAATCTAGTTTTTCCATTTCTGTTTCTGGTTTCCTCCCCATGAGGTTTCCAGCGACTCCATGTGGAGGCTAAATCAGCTCCATCTTGGAAGCTGACATGCTATCTTGACTTCTGATTAACCCCTGTTCCAGGAATGACTCTAAGATTTCTACTTCATCTGCTGTTACCTTAAATCCTGCCCTTAGGTCAAAGCAACCTTGACCATGAATCCTGCCCTTAGGCAGACTCACATAGCATTCTTGCCTTTCCCTGAGGGGTCAACTTCAATTGTCCTACACATTTCTTCCCTACAGTAGATAAGTCCTGGTTTTGGGGGATAATGGTGCAGGGATCCACTGTTCCTCTCAACGCTGCCTGCAACGTGGCTTCTGTTTGTAAGTCCCTAATAAAATAAACGTTTCTTCCTGAGAAACTGGATTTGTAGGCCTCTTTCCTGGGTCTTTGGGGGTAGGTTTGCACAGACCTGCCCACCGCAGAACACCAAGCATCTGGCAGCTTTCACAAGCACTTAGCTTTGGCCCAGAAGTGAAAGAAGCCTCTTGCCCCAGAGAGAAGCATGGGTCACCACCGGTTAAGCAGATGGTTCTGTTCTTTCTTCCTCCTTGACAGGTTGTTTGGCAAGCAGAAAGAAGTTAAGATGCCTTCAATTTATCTTCCAGGAAAAGAGCTAAGGACACTGGTGAAAGGAACCCTGGAGAACCTGCCGCTGCCTTCTGGCAATTTCCAGCAGCCAGCATGGGGTCTTACACAGGGAGGTGCCCAGCCTCGGGGACATGCAGTGACATCCCACTCACATCCCCTGGGGTCCCCCCTTGCTCAGCCCCCCAAGAACAAGCTGTCATTTAGAAGACTGCCAAAATGCTTCCTCTTTAAGCAGCCTTCCAGGACTGTGAGAAGAGAAATAACACGGAATTCCACCCAAAATGCGCACGCAGATGAACACACACACACACACACACACACACACAGTCTACCTCATCATCTCCTCCAGATAAAAGTGCTTACCCTTGTCGAGCACAGAAAATGAGATGTGTTTGGTGTTCATGAGTGAGGCATAGACTATATGGGCCCAGAGGCTTCTATCTGATTTGCTGATGCCACAAGGTCAGCAGTGGGCAGGGCAATGGTTTGGAACAAAAAGAACATAGGCTATTGTCCTGGCTTTGTTACTCACTTGCTGTGCTAAATGAGCAAGTTGCTAGCCTCTTCTGAGTCCGTGATCTCAGCAGGTGTGGGAGTAAAGGGTATCGAAGCTCCCCATTGCTCTACTGTTTCAGGATTCTTAGTAGAGCACCCAGGGATGAAAGAACGGGGTGTATGGTGAGGGAGTGGGAGCCAGGAGGCAGGGGCCACCTTCCAGGGGCATCTCTGGGTTTCTGCACAGCTCCCAGCCCTACTGCACACAGCCTGTCCTCCTCCTCTGGCTGGGAGCCCCATGCAGTCACAGGTGGGCCTTCCCTCTCCAGCTCCACCCTTGGTGCCAGGCCCTGGGGCTGGCACTAAGTACATGCCTAGTAAACCTTTGTTGAGGAAATGAATATGGGGCTAGTGTGCAGGGAGGCTGGATGTGGTGAATGAAAAACAGAGCACTCAGAGTTCCTAGGGGGTAGGATTCCAGCTGCTTATGGGTCTATCAGAGAACACGCTGGGGGAAAAGCTTCCACAAAGAATTGTTCAGTCCTCCTCGTGCCAGCAGCAAGGTCTCCCCTCTGACTTCTGGGGAAGGATCACGTTAGAGCAACCAGACTCTTGTCCCTGGCCTGTCTTCTCTATAGAAAGGCGCTGTGGGAGGAAGCAGGTTACTGATGTGGGAACCCCATAGAGGACAGGGGAACTGAGGACCTTGGGCCTCACCGCTGTGGCTCACGTCTCAACATCATTCACATCCGAGCCCAGCCCTCAGAGAGGTGGCTGCTGAGAGAGGTCGCTGGCTGTGTGGAGAAGGGAGATCCAGGAGTAGGGGGGCAGGAGCCACAGGGAAGGGGTGTCAGTAAAGGGGGAACCTGGTGATGGCTGGAGGGAGAGACTGTGGAGAGAGTCAGCGTCCAAGGGTAATTGCTGGAGTTTACCATGCTGTGCAGGTGCAGTGAACACCTCTCTGTTCAGCTCTTCTCTAAAGCTTTCAGCACCTTCTGGTTTAGGAATACTCCCTGGAGAATGATGGAGGTGCTGCACTTGTGTAAAGAATCACACAAGCAAGAGCAGACTCTATGTCCTCAGTAGGGTAGCCCTGGGAGTACTGGGCCCACTTCCGAGCTCCAGTGGCAGTGTCTCCAGTAACCTGCACCCCCTTCCCTGTTGCAAATGCCCCTTCCTGGGCCATCATTCTACTGGACCTCTTGGCATTTAACATCGCAGATCACTCTGTATTCTTTTTTTTTTTTTTTTTGACAGTCTTGCTCTGTTGCCCAAGTTAGATTGCAGTGAGCAGTGATGCTATCTCGGCTCACTGCAACTTCCTCCACTTCCTGGGTTCAAATGATTCTCCTGCCTCAGCCTCCCGGAGTAGCTGGGATTACAGGTGTGCACTGCAACACCCAGCTGATCTTTGTATTTTTTGTAGGGATGGGGTTTCACCATGTTTGCCAGGCTGGTCTCAAACTCCTGACCTCAGGTGATCTGCCCACCTTGGCCTCTCAAAGTGCCAGGATTACAGGCATGAGCCACGGTGCTTGGCTCCCTATATTCTTCATATTTCCTCTCTGCTTTTCCCAGAAGCAGATGCTGGAACAAGGACTTGGGTATAGCTTCCAGGACTTGGGAGGCAGTCCAGGAAGCAGAAACGAGAGTGCAAGGAGAGTGAGACAGGAAGGAGGAAAGTCATCATAGGGTGTGTTATCAAGGTCACTGATGGGAGCAACACAGCCACAGTGTCTGATTGTGTGGCACCTCTCAAGAACTGTAACGGCAGCCTTCCAGAACTGTCCATGTGGTGGACAGGAGTGTGGAGTATGTATCTTCTGGTTCCTGTCTCCCAAATGAAGATTGTCCTGGTGACATGAACCACTTACACTTCAGGACCACACTTGCACATGGGCCCAGTGGGCTTCCCTGGCCTCAGAGGGCAGAGAGTGAAAAGGTGGCTGTGAGCTTGAGCTGGGATGCTATCAATTACAGGAACCCCTGATCTCAAACAGAACGGCCTGCCAGAGCTGCCCTGTAGGCAGAGGAGGGATGAGGGGATGTGATGAGGGCACAGAGGCATTGCAACTGTCCCTGGCCATGCTTTCTCATGGCATCTTTGGGGGTGGCTTCCCCTGACCTGTTGACAGTGAACATCTGCTAATGCCACATGATCTCCACATCCTTTCTTAAATGCTCACATGCTCCTTGTTTAACAGAGTCTGGAATTTGGCCAGGGCCCAGGGATCGGAACACCACCTCGATGGCCTCCAGGTGTGTGCTTTAGCCAAACCCTTTCTTCTGCATATGGAGCTGGTCCAGGAGCCTCTCCTCCCTGGAGCCATGAAGTCTCCTCCTCCACCTCCACCAAGCCAAAGACACACTCTGCTTCCCCTCCAATCTACTTCTCCTGGACGCAGTATCTCACTGCCATGGGTTCAGTCCTCCTCCTGGACACCACGTCTCACCACCACTGGCTCAGTCTTCCTCCTGGACGCTGTGTCTCACTGCCATGGGCTTAGTCCTCCTCCTGGACGCCATGTCTCATCACCATTGGCTCAGTCCTCCTCCTGGACGCCATGTCTCACCACCGTGGGGCTCAGTCCCAGTCCTGGACGCCACTTCTCACTGCCATCAACTCAGCTGCCAGAGTCAGAATTTCCTGATAATTCCCCTCTCTCCTTCATTCTCCACACCAAGTCCAGGTGGCTTCTGGTAGCCAGGAGATGGACTCTGCCAGGCTGCTTCATTGCTCTGGACTCACCAGCCTTCTTCTTTGGGAACTGATGTGAGAATCTGTTAAGATCCACATGTGACATCCAGGTTCACCTGAGCCATGTGTGTGTTTAATTCCACAGAGTCACTCCTTCTACCACATTATCCACGAATAGCATCTCTTTCCTTCCCAGGCCCCAGCACATCCCCTCTACAGCCTCATCAGCCCTCCCAAAAGGGCCCAGTGCAGCTTGTGCCACTTCAGGTTTTCTTGGCTCTAATGCAACACCGCATGGCTGACTCCCTCTTCCCATTGATTTCCCATTATTCTACCTTGTTCCAGAAGCACTTCCAGGTTGAGCAGAAGGGAGGTTCTGACTGTCTTATGCCTCCACTGCTTGGAGCTGGATGGAGAATACCCAGGCTCTCCACCGCCCTCTAATAGTGACATGTCCTCCTCACCTCCCCTGGAATGTGCATCCTTGGACTTCTGGGTGACCTCGGCACCCCACAGTCCATTCCTGCCTTCCTTACATCTGTTGTCTGTGGTCCTTGAGCCTGTGACATTACGTCTCTTGGGGCTCTTTCAGGTTCAGGAGAGTGGGGAGCAAGTCCACGGCATTTGTTTAACACAGAGACCAAGCCCAGTCACTCTGGCTAATGCGTTCTCTGTGGGTACAGCAAACACGAACTTAGCTTTTACCGTGTGCTGGGGCTTGATCTCCTTGACCTTGGGGAGCTCTTCTTCTGCAGGGATGCTGATTAAATGCTCAGGAAATGGTGTGAAGCACAGCCAATTCTTGTTATTCACAGTAGTTATTATCTATAAAGTTGTGAATTAGCAAACACTGAACCATTGCTCCTAGGGGAAATACAGGGTGAAGTTCAGTCCTCGTCCTGGATGAGGTTCCTGAAGCCTCTGGTCATGACATTTTTGTCAGCTGACCAATACATAACCTTGTTTTATGTGCATTTCTATTGAAAGACACCTTATTTACTCTATATTGTTGATTCATTAGCACTGAACTCACCGCCAGCAGTGCTAAGTCAGGCCTGAAGGAAGCTGATCTAACTCATGTAGTAAAGCGTGTCACTGCCTCCTTGCACTTAGGAACACTAGAAGGCCCTTCAGCACTACTTTTGGGGCCATTTTCGATATCAAAATCACAAATAAAAAGCACAAAGTATGAAAAGTGGGCACTAAATAGACTGTGAAAAGGACACTTAAGATCATGAGAGCTGAAACAAGAAGGCAGAGCGTGCCTTGTTCAAGCTCAGCAGGGAACAAGTCCATCAGGTCACTAACATTTTTCTACATGTCTAGAATGACCACAAAAGTATTAGGTTGGCGCAAAAGTAATTACTTTTAATGGGAAAAACCGCAATTACTCTTACAGCAATCTAATACTATGAGTAGGCCAGGTGCAGTGGCTCACACCTGTAATCTCAGCACTTTGGGAGGCTGAGGCAGGGGATCACTTGAGCTCAGGAGTTCGAGACCAGCGTGGCCAACACAGTGAAACCCTGTCTCCACTAAAAAACACAAAAATTAGGCCGGGCATGGTGGCACACGCCTGTAATTCCAGCACTTTGGAAGGCCTAGGCGGGCGGATCACCAGGTCAGGAGATTGATACCATCCTGGCTAACACGGTGAAATCCTGTCTCTACTAAAAAACACAAAAATTAGTCTGGGTGTGGTGGCTCACGCCTGTAATCCCAGCACTTTGGAAGGCCAAGGCAGGCGGATCACAAGGTCAGGAGATTGATACCATCCTGGCTAATATGGTGAAACCCCATCTCTACTAAAAAAATACAAAAAAATTAGCTGGGTGTAGTGGCGGGTGCCTGTAGTCCCAGCTACTTGGGAGGCTGAGGCAGGAGAATGGCATGAACCTGGGAAGTGGAGCTTGCAGTGAGCCGAGATCTCGCCACTGCACTCCAGCCTGGGCGACAGAGCGAGACTTCATCTCAAAAAAAAAAAAAAAAAAAAAAGTAGCCGGGTGTGGTGGCACAAGCCTGTAATTCCAGCTACTTGGGAGGCTGAGGTGGGAGAATCGCTTGAACCTGGGAGGCAGAGGTTGCAGTGAGCTGAGAGCACAGCACTGCACTCCATCCAGCCTGGGCAACAGAACAAGACTCTGCATCAAAAAAAAAAAAAGTTCTATGAGTATTGACTTTTGGATTACAAATAAATTTTAGTGAGTAGGCAAATTTGCCAGTACTTTGGTAGGTAATGAGGATCAACTGTGTGTACAGAAGGAAGAATGAGGCTTCAGGCCGGGCACAGTGGCTCACACCTGTAATCCCAGCACTTTGGGACGCCAAGGTGGGTGGATCACCTGAGGTCAGGAGTTCGAGACCAGTTTGGCCAACATGGTGAAACCTTGGCTCTACTAAAAATACAAAAATTAGCTGGGTGTGGTGGCACACGCCTGTAATCCCAGCTACTTGGGAGGCTGAGGCAGGAGAATTGCTTGAACCCAGGAGGCAGAGGTTGCAGTGAGCCAAGATCGTGTCATTGCACTCCAGCCTGGGCAACAAGAGCAAAACTCCATCTCAAAAGAAAAAAAAAAAAAAAAAAAGAATGAGGCTTCAGAGTGGAGAGGAGGGAGCAGCAGACAGAGGATAATTCACAAAGCGGTTACCATGAAGCTAAACTTTGAGGGGTAAGTTAACTTCCCCAGGTAGGAGGGGACTCTGGGTAGAGTGGGCACCATGCACAGGGGCATGAGACAACAGGGGATGAAGTAATGTCTTTAAGGTGATGGTGAAAAAACCAGCGGCGAACATGTCAGGAAGAGCCCTGATGTCCAGGAACCTAGGAAAGGGCAGCACTTCCACACCCACCCCTTTTCACAGGGTTTTTTGTGAGCTGGGTGGTGCCAACTGCTATTACAGAGAAACCCCAACTCAGTGCTTTGACCCAACAAGCATATGATTTTTTGCACACATTAGAGTTCAACATGAATGATGGGTGAGCAGCTTTTCATGAAGTGATTGAGGGACCTAAACGCCTTCAAAACTGTGTCTCCCCCACCCCGAGGGCCTCAGAGTCCTGGCTGACGATCAGCAAAGGGGAAAGGTGGAAGGTGGACAGTTGCACAGGGGTGTCTACCTGCCACACCTTGAAGTGACTCATGTCCCTTCCATCTACACCCTATCATCACACGGCCCCACCTAGATGGGAGGAGGGATGGGGAATGAAGTCCCCAGCTGGACAGCTGCTTCCTAGGAACATGTCTACTACATGTTCATGTACTCTGGAGGAGAAATGTGACTCTTGGTGGACAGCTAGCTGTTTCTGCCACAGGCCCTCACATTAGTCCATCAGACTACAGGGCAGAACTGAAAAGCTGTAGCCGGGCGCAGCGGCTCACCCCTGTAATCCCAGCACTTTGGGAAGCTGAGGCGGGTGGATCACCTGAGGTCAGGAGTTCGAGACCAGCCTCAACATGGAGAAACCCCATCTCTACTAAAAATACAAAATTAGCCAGGCGTAGTGGTACATGCCTATACTCCCAGCTACTCGGGAGGCTGAGGCAGGAGAATTGCTTGAACCTGGGAAGTGGAGATTGTGGTGAGCCAAGATCGCACCATTGCACTCCAGCCTGGGCAACAAGAGCAAAACTCTGTCTCAAAAAAAAAAAAAAGAAGAAGAAGAAGCTGTGGTCAGTGAAGTCTATGGAAATGGAGTGTCAAGGTGCAGTCTAGACAGAGTATATAGCCAATAAATGCTTGGTGAATGAATGAATGAATGAGAAGTGCTTTATGCCTCATTCCCAGCTAGCTGGCAGGGAAGGGAGCATTCTCATTTTTCCTGCCGTCAGACACATTGCTTCCTGTACCTGATGTCTGAGTCCATTCAGGCTTCTATTACAGAATACCATAAACTGGTGACTTATAAATGACAGAAATTTATTTCTCACAGCTCTGGAGGCTGGGAAGTCCAAGATCAAGGTGCCAGTAGATTCAGTGTCTGCTGAAAGCCCACTTCCTAGTTGATGGAGGCATCTTCTCACAGTGTCCTCACGTGGTAGAAGGGCCAAAAAGCTCCCTGAGACCATTTCACAAGGGCAGTAATCTCATTCCTGAGGGCTCCCCTCTTACGACCTAATCACATCCGAAAGGTCCCACCTCCTAACCATCACCTTGGGAGATTCAAGATTGAATTTTGGGGAGGACACAACATTCAGTCCGTAGCACCTGGAGAGGAAATGTGACCACAGGAATAGAAAGAGGGATGCCCAGAGAGAAGAGGTCTAAGTAACTGCAAATCTGGTCTGTACCTATGAATATTCTGTCCATTTAATTCAACTTCTTTGGGATTAGGGCTACACAGACCTTCTGCAGGATTTGGAAAACCCAACGCATGACTGAGTGGTTAGAAATGGTTTGAAATAGCCTGGAAAGACTCCAGGGAGGAGAGAACGGAGCGCGCGCGTGCACACACACACACACACACACACACACACACGCAGAGCCGGGGCTTATCTCTAATCTCCATGCGGATTTTAATCCAGCCTTGCATGTAATCGCCTCATAACTCCACATTTCCAATTTATTAATCAAATGCCATCTATGAGGCAATGTTGCGGGCCCCACCGGTGTTTCTGCATTTGATGGTTGCTGAATATCTATGCTTCAGCAACTTCCATCCACGCCAAACAAGAGAAAAACAACCGCCACCTTTTCTCCCCAGAGCAAATTCACACTCAGCAAGGATAATCACAAATCCTCCACAGGTGAACAAATCAGAATAAATGAGGAGTCAACACACCCACCAAGGCCTGTGAGTTACGGTATCAAGGCAGCTGTCAGGGAGGGTCGTGGGTTAGGGAGTGCCTCCCTCTTCTAATCACAGGCACCATTTGAAAAATGCAGGAGAGGGGCCAGCTGCGTCTGCCAGGGAGACTGCTATAAGTCGTCTGTGTGCTTGTTCCCTGGCATCCCAGGGTCAGGAGTCCTGAAGCTCATCTGGCAGCTGCTGCGACAAAATCTTTCTGATGGCTCAAGACATTGGCCTCTATGATCTCATTTACATTCATTGTGTGTGCATTAGAAGGGGAGATATTAATACAAAAGCATGGCTATAGAAAAGGGATGAATTGTTTTTATTCAAACACAGAATGGTCAGTAGCAGACCCAAGGTTGTACTACTTGGAGATAAAAGTCTTTAACTCTGGGCCCTAATGCTGTCCCTGCTCCCCACCTGCCTGCCAGACTTCCACCTCCTCCTCATCTGATCCAGCAATCCAGCACACACAGGCTTGGCTGGGATGTGTGCAGAGAGGAGAGCCAGGCTCAGCCAGCTCCTAGCTTGGTGCCCCTGTAGAATGGTGCTTTAGAAATACGTGCTGCACAGATGAGCATGTGACTTAGTCCATGCCCTCCTCTCCTCATTGCCTCCAGCAACTTTCCTAAAGGGAAGGTAAAGTCTTGTCATCCCCCTGCTCCCTTCCCTACAGTGTGGAAATGCCTGGGAATTTCTGCCCTTGGACCTCCAAGCCACGCCCCTTGGGAAAGTGCCAGGATAGTGGTGGGGTGCTCAGAGGTGGGGACTCCCAGTTACCTGCTTTGGGTGACTCTGGCCTTAGCTGGCCCTGAGGTGGAGGCCGCCTGGGAACTGTGGGTCAGAGGAAGTCAGCTTCAGCTCCCTCAAATGTGGGGATCTTCCATCCCCAAGTGACCCACTCAATCTTTGGGGCTGTCGTGCTGTGAACTGGTCAAGAGAAGTATATGATCCAACTCCTGACTCAAGAATCTTGCCTGCTTGATGGATGAAGAGGGAAGGCGGATGGAACCAGCTGAGTGGAACCAGCCACAGAGCAAGCACGAAGTGACAAATCACCCAGGGACGAAATCATGCAGGCAGGCAGGTGGGCAACCTGAGTCCATTTCATCAGCCATTGTTTAATTTATTCTTGGTTGTACTTTCTGCTTTATTTCCAACACAATCAAAACCAGATGTGTGCAAAAGTCACGCTATCACCCAGCACAGGATTACCTAAGATCTATTATAATGCAGCTTCATGCCCATTACAGTATTCCCATGCCCCTCACAGGGCAGTGTGCATCTGTTTTAGTGCTACCTAATGTCTGTTAGGTGCAAGCTGGCCCACACATGGCTTCTAGGCAGAACAGTCTACAAGTGACAGCGTGACCAGAGAGCAGAGACAGGAAGGAGGCCCAGACATGAGTGTGGGATGCTGCAGAACAGCAACAGGATGCTTCTGCTATCCCCAAATGTTATCTCAAATACCTCAACGTCAATGCTTTCTGTTCCATGTTCCTCTTCTCCCTGGACAGCCCCTCCTTCTGAAAGTCAGAACTGTCTGCTCTTGAGCTTGCCTTGAGGGAAGGAAATAATTTAGATAAGCAGAGAGGAAGACAGGCAAGGGATGTGGTGGGGCAAAGGCGGAGATGTATCTTCACAGGTCCCTGTCCTCAGCACCCAGAATCACCCCTTCCCTGTAGGAGGGAGCTGATAGAAAGAGGGGATCTCCATCCAGGAGCCACCCACCAGGCAGCTGGAAACATTTGCCAACAGCAGGTACACCTAGGGCTCAGCAGAGGGTTGGGTGAGAATGGTCTTGCCCAGTTTGTGCCACACTGAGCACCGGCTGGAGGAGGAAGCGGACAGAATGCCATCTGGACACAAGTGCTCCCTCACTGCCTGGGCCTGGGTCGCCTCAGGCTTTTGTGTCAGATCAGCCACTCCCTCTACAGATAATGCTGCTCCAGGCAAAGAGGCTTAGGTGGGTCTCCAGGGCAACCGCAGCTCAGGAGCTGGCCCGCCTCCATGGTTCATCAGGGAAGCTGTGGCTCCAGCCTCGCGGGATACATACACGCATACACACACACACACACACACACACACACACACACACACACACACCTACACACCCCACAAACAATAGTCCAGGCTGGATCTCTCCTCCTGTCTCTTCTCTTGGTAAAACTTCTCAGAGAACCAAAGAGAGGCAAAATTTGAGGCCAGCCGGCAGCAGCAGAGAAGCTGAGGGAGACTTGAGGATGTAGACTGCCCTGCCCTGCTGTGGCTGCTCAACTTTCTTTTTTTTTCCTGAAAATATCCAGACACTCTCTTCTCCCAGACTGGGAAGCAGAACGCAGGCCCCCTGCTGTGACGCTGCACCTGAGCAGAGGCTGACCTCAGAGGTAAGATGGAGGTCTCCCCAGGAGACAGTGTCTTCCCCACCCGCACCCTGGCACAGCTGCACCTTTGGAAGTTAGGGCTGAGGCTTGAAGCTGGGTGGGGTGGCCTCAAGGGGTGTGGCAGGCTGGGGAGCCTAGAAAGCCGCCCACCTCCGGGACCCAGATGGCCACAGGAAGGCCCCTTTAGTCCTCATCAGTTCCACAGGAGTTGGAACCGATGAGGGTCCTGCAGCTTCCTCGGGGCTATAGCCTGCTCCTTGTTTTGTAAACCTGTGGGAAGCCATTGTTTTTGCCTGTTCTGGAACTGCAAGCCTCTCGGGGAGGACCCAGCTCCAGCAGGTTCCTTTCTGCCTTTATAGAGTGGACACAGGCAGGGGGAAGGAAAGCGAAACCCAAATCAGAGACTCTTGCATGGGTTTGCGAACTGTGATTCGAGCATCTACTAAGTCCAAGGCACAGAGTCAGGCTCTGGGGATGCAGCAGCACCCAGGGCACGAGGGTGATGGATGTGCCTCAGTCCCCTCGAACATGGAGCAGTCTGTGCATCCCTGATAACATGCCCAGGAGAGTGGGCCCAGGCAGATGGGTGCAGGGTGGGGCGCCAGGGAGATCGGGCCTAGAAGGAAAGTCCAGCTGCGACCAAGGGATGAGGGTCAGTCCCCTCCCACTGTGGTCAGTCAGACCTGTGTACACGCCCTCTCCTGGCTGCACCTCTGCCTCAGAATGGGAAGGACTGGCTGCCATTCACTCATTCATTCAGGAACCGCTTATCAAGTGCTACCATGTGCAGCAGATTCAACCCACATTCCTCTCGCCCTTGCAGAATTCATAGCTAGGTGGGGAAGAGATAAATACAACCCAAAGCGTGAGAAACGTGTTTGCTAGATGCCATGGTGATGGGCCCTTGTGTCAGGCCCTGGTGGCTGGGATCAGTGCTCCATGGGTGGGGGGAAGTGAGGGGCCGGCTGCAGGGAGGAGTTGTCTCTTGAGGGGTTCCCGACAAATGAGCAGATGTCTGTCAGGTGGGCAGAGGATCCACAGGTCAGGCCCGCTCATATCTGGCTTGGTGGATTATAGGTTGTTTTTCTGTGATGCCAAAGAGAAATAAGGTCAATTTGCAATCTGTAAAGTTGGACTTGGGCCTTATCAAACACAGAGCTGGGAGGCAGATTAGCCAGAGAAGCACCTACTCTCTGCCCCCACTGAGAAGTCTCTGCCCAGACTGAGCGTCTGGCGTCAGCAGAGCCAGCCTGCCCCTGCAGTGAAGCTGCCAGTGCTCTGGGACAGCCTGACTCAGGTGCTGCTCTATGCCTGGGTCCGGCGGGTCACACAGGGCAGCCCCTCACCCTGGCCTGCAGATGCCTAGCTCAGCTTCAGAGGTGGAGGACCCGGGCCGGGTTCCCTGGCCATGGCTCCCTTTGCACTGAGAAATTGGCCTTCCTGGGCAAGGTCTGCACGCCCTCACTGTTTGGCTGGGGCCGGCGCAGGGCCTCAGTTCTCACTAGAGGTGAGGGCACTCTCATCCCTCCTGCAGGGGGTCAGAGCCCTGCTTCCAGCTCCAAGGTCACACTCCCCATTGTTCCCACCATTGAGACATCCCTGGTCCCCCTCTGAGTGCCAAGTGGAACCAGAGACTCCTCTTGCCCTTGAGGCACAACGCGAGAGTTTTTCCAGCACAGCTAACGAGCCACAGCTGGTAGTGGCGCCTCCCAGGAGCCACAGAAAAGACATTATCCTCAGGGATGTTCAAAAATAGGCTGAAAGGAAGGCTCTGAGAGTGTGGGGGTGGAAGGGGTAATGAAGGAGAAAGGAAAGAGGAAAGAGAAGATCAGAGAATGGAAGATAACGGGCGTGGGTGAGTGACACCAAAAGGCAGAGACAGAACGTGCGAGGGCTTCCCCATCATCCACTCTGCTCTGTAAACCTGAGGCCTCACCACCTGGGCCTTCTCTTGAAACAGGGAGGCTCAGCTCTCCCAACACGGTGACCAGAAGCCAGGGCTGGGGAAGGCCAGGAACAAAGTTGGGGTCAAGCTTGCACCAAGCCAGGGGATCCTTTATTTTTGTGCCCCCTTTGGGAGTCTGTGAAGCCTGTGGACACGTTCCTAGAAAAATGCTTCTAAATGCATAAAAGTAAATTCACTGGGGTACAAAGGAAACAAGCTCTATTGAAATGCAGCTATCAAAAAAAAAAAAAAGAAAGAAAAAATGATTTATGATATAATAATATGTGTGCTTCCCTATCAACATGTGAAATAATAAAACCTAGTAGCAAGTCTAATAAATGCCACAATTTCATAGTAGTGATGAGCATACCAGATAATTCAAGAATAACAACTTTAAAGCATTTTGTGAAAAATCTGTGGTTTCTGCTGGAGATAAAGCCATGGGGCTACTGATATTACTGTGGTCTATGACCCTCATTCATAACTAAAGAAATACCACATTTCAGTTAAAGGTTAGTGGAAATAAAGATGACTTTTTTCCCCACCCAAGTTCATAAATCCCTGAATTTTCCCTAGGACCCAAGGGTAAGAATCTGTACTAAGCGACAATGGTAGCCACTGATCTAGGTGAATCAGCTTATTGTTAGTTTATAAAAATAAAACATTTACAAAGACATAATCTCATTTGATTTTCACAGTAACTTGAAATAGGTACCTTTATTATTCCCTTATAGATTGGGGAAACTGAGGCTTGGGGCCATGAAGGTGACTTGGACAAAGGCAGCATACACGGGAGGGGAAGGGCGTAGGAACTGAATTCAGGTTTTATCTGCTGAAGGCTGCACTGTCTCCCCAAGCCCAGCCTGCTCCACCTGAGCTGGTGATCAAGTAGAGGCGGAGTGGGGGTGCAGCCAGGCCACCCAGCATGCATCTGAGGTCAAAAGCAGTGGAGGTGGTGAGTGGGGGTGAGAGTGGGGATGGTACTGGACCCCAGGCCCCAGACTCCACGGAGGGAATATGGGGAGAGGGAACGGAAGGCATGTATGTGTCAATGGACAGCAGCAACTCTGTCCCCACCCCGGCTCCCAGACAAAAGAGGGAAACGCAGCCCAAAGATTCTTACTAAGGACCCCAAGATGGATAGGGGTCTTAACAAGCAGGGCCCAGCCCATGTTCCTAGCTGGCTTTCATTTCTTTTCTTCTTGTTTTGTGTCATCATTGCATTTGGTCATCTGTCTCCTCTCTATAGAGCCTTCAAGACCTCTTTCCAGGTGGGTTTTTTTTTTTTTTTTTGACAGAGTCTTGTTCTGTCGCCTAGGCTGGAGTGCAGTGGCACCATCTTGGCTCACTGCAGCCTCCACCTCCCGGGTTCAAGCAATTCTCATGCCTCAGCCTCCTGAGTAGCTGGGATTACAGGCATCTGCAACCACACCTGGCTAATTTTTGTATTTTTAGTAGAGATGGGGTTTCACCATATTGGCCAGGCTGGTCTCAAATTCCTGGCCTCAAGTGATCTGCCTGCCTTGGCCTCCCAAAGTGCTGGGATTATAGTCGTGAGCCACCGCTCCCGGCCTCCAGGTGAACTTTTTAGCCACCTGATTGTGTCTCATAAGAATTACAACCCCTGATCACTGCACAGGATTTGTATAGTTTACTGAATGTTTTCACATATTGTCTCCTGCCCGAGTCTCAGAGAAGCCCTGTGGAGTGGGCTGAGCTGGTGTCTGAACACCATTTTATAAATGCAGAAACCAAGGCCTCGCTGGTTAATGAGCAGTAGCGGTTATGCAGAGAACAGGGGCAGGCACTTCCTGGGCACACCCTGCACTGCTTACACAGCCGAGGCCCAGGAGTCCCTTTCCACTCAGGAGAGCTGTGCCTTTGGTGGCATCGCAATTGCTTGTCTGCTTGTTTTCCCCCCTCTCTTGAGTGTACACTCCTTGAGGGAGTCCCAGCACCTAGCACAGCGACAGGCAGGTCACACACTCCTCCTGTGTCTGCTGAGCGAGTGAGTGGATGAGAACTCAGCCCTGCGCCTCAGTCTCCAGGCCCTAGGCCCTCCCCGCACACGCCACTGTGCAAGGCCTCGATGCCCAGGCTCGTGGGTGAAGAAAGACACAGCAGCAGAAATGAGCAGAATAGGGACTGCAGGCAGGGGTCCCGAGGAACAACGCAGGCCATCAGGTAGAGTGAATCAGGAAGGCTTCCTGCACAAGTGAGTTTTGAGGTAGAGCTTTCCCAACTTTTAAACTTGAATATGCATAAACATGCAGAAAAGTGTGATAAATATCTATCAATATCCCCCAGATACAACAATTGCTAATATTTTGCCATATTTGCTCTTGTAGGGGCCAAGGGCTTGGCCCTATGAAGGTTCACTTAAAAATCAACTCAAGAAAGGCTGATTAATTAGAGAAAAGGCGTACACATTTATCACAAACGCGTACATGGGGAGAATCACAGAGGAACTGCTCACCCCACACTGTGGTTCGGAAGCTTATATATCATCCTGGCAAAGCAGGTTATGGGAGGGGGAGAACAGCAGTTCTGGTGAGAGGATTACTAGGGAGAATGAACGGGGCAGGGATCAGAAATGAACTTGTACATTATCCTGGGAGAGGGTCTGTTCAGGTGGGGGCTCATTCTCGGTCTTAAGAAAGGGGAAGAAAAAAACCATTGTTCCCTTTGGTGGATCTGGATCTTAGGCAGACAAAGGCTTTGGAAGAGACGGTGGCCGTGGGGAGGGCCAGAGAGACCACGAGGCTTCTTCAGCTCAGCATGTCCAAATGCCATATCTTAGGATATTGGTTTCTGAGCCCCAACATCCTGTTTATGGGGTGTGTGTATACATATTTATGTAATGTTTTCTGAACTATTTGAATGTAAGATATTGTAGACACCCATAAACACTTCAGCACCTCCTAAGATTGAGCTATTGGCCAATATTCCACAGATAGTTTTCTTTTTTTCTTTTCTTTTTTGGAGACAGAGTTTCGCTCTTGTCACCCAGGCTGGAGTGCAATGGTGCAATCTCGGCTCACTGCAACCTCTGCCTCCCGGGTTCAAGCCATTCTCCTGCCTTAGCCTCCCAAGTAGCCGGGATTACAGGCATGCATGCCTGGCTAATTTTTGTATTATTAGTAGAGACGGGATTTCACCATGTTGGCCAGGCTGGTCTCGAACTCCTGACCTCAGGTGATCCACTTGCACCGGCCTCCCAAAGTGCTGAGATGACAGATGTGAGCCACCGTGCCCAGCCCCATGGATTATTTTCTAACATCCAGCTCATATTCAGATTTCCTCAGTTATCCTAATTTTTTTTTGTTTGAGTCGGAGTCTCTCTTTGTTGCCCAGGCTGGAGTGCAATGGCACGATCTCAGCTCACTGCAACCTCTGCCTCCCAGGTTCAATCGATTCTTCCACCTCCCGACTAGCTGGAATTACAGGTGCCCGCCACCATGCCCAGCTAATGTTTGTATTTTTAGTAGAGACGGGGTTTCACTGTGTTGCCCAGGCTGGTCTCGAACTCGTGACCTCAGGTGATCCACCCACCTTGGCCTCCCAAAGTGCTGGGATTATAGGTGTGAGCCACCACACCCAGCCTTTTTTTCTTTTAAATATAAAGAAGGGGATCTTTCCTAACTTGATAAAGGGTATCTCCTTTTTTTTTTTTTTGAGATGGGGTCTCACTCTGTCACCCAGGCTGGAGTGCAGTGGCGCGATCTCAACTCACTGCAACCGCTACCTCCCAGGCTCAAGTTAGCTCAAGTTATCCTCCCACCTCAGCCTCCTGAGTAGTTGGAACTACAGGCGCATGCCACAACGCCCAGCTAATTTTTTATATTTTTGGTAGAGACGGAGTTTCACCATGTTGCCCAGGCTGGTCTCGAACTCCTGAACTCAAGCCTCCCAAAGTGCTGGGATTACAGGCATGAGCCATCGTGCCTGGCCTATCCTAATTTTTTAAAACAAGGATTCAATCAGTGTTCATGTGTTTGAGGCAGGTTGTAAGTGCCTTTGACTGAGTGGGAACCATTCATCATGGGAAGACTCTGAGGTCACCATGGCGCTGCCACTCGCCAGGTGGTGAGCCAAGTGCGGGGGCCTTGGGGCTTACACTGAGGAGTTGGCTCTGCCACGGTGGTGAATCTGGAGCCAGGCAGTGTAGAAAATTGTGCCAGACACTCACCAAAGGTCACTCTTTCTGTTGTTTAACAGACCTCCCCCAGGCACCACGTCCTTCCCAGTCTCAGCCGAGGTTCAGGTTCTGGGGATACCCTGGGATAAGGCAGCCCCCTCTGGAGTCTGTCTAGCCTGCCCTCCTGCCTCTCTGTCTCTGTTCTTCCTCCCTCTGTCTCTCCCTCCCTCCTTTGCCCTTAAGAACTTAATCGGACCCACTGAAGAGCCTTCTGGGGGAGCAGCTGGCACTGGGGACAGAAATAGCACCAGCAGAAATCTTGTTTCTGCCAAAGCCTCCAGTCCTGGCCAGAGTTGCGGGAAGTGAGGGGATGGGGAGGAGATGACTCAGAACACCCTCCTCCCCTGTTGAGACCCTACACCTGGGCCAAAGAGGCTTAGAGCCCACAAAATTCAGGACTCAGGTGGGATCACTCCACTCAGCCCCTGCCATCTGGAGATGGGGGAGGTGGGTCACAAAGCACCTTCTCTAGCGGCCAGCTCAGGTCGGGAGCCTTAAGCCCAGGGAAGCAGGACCCCATACAGGCTGCACCCCAGACTGTACTCGGGCTTGCTTCTGGCCTTACTCTGCCTTGAGGTGAAGTGTCTGGGGGTCCAGGAGACATGCCACCCTGTGGGCACTTCCCTTCGAGGTCAGGCTTAGGGACTGAAATCAGAATTCCCTGCCAGACAGTCGCCCGCCCACTTCCCCACAGAAGGGGCCACTGAGCAGGGCAGACAGCACTGCCAGCGAGCAACCCTAAGTCAGAGGGTGGCACAGAGGTGGCTGGTTGCAGGGGTGTGGCTGGGCCTTGGAGGTGAAAGCTGGGGTGTCCCCACACGTGTTTGCAAGGCCCCTTACCATGTGGGATGAAGCGGAGGTGGGAAGAGAGGGAGGCAGGCTGAGGGCCGAGAGCAGTCCCAACCCACCTCCATGTGTCAGAGAAGAACTCTGAGGAGTCCAAGAATGCTGTCTGAATCTCACCCTCCATGTTGTTAGGAAGGTATAGTTCACAAGGGAGGAAACGGAACATACTTTATTTAATAGTTTGTTAGCTTATGTGGCTGTGGCATGGATATTCTGCAGTCAATTTGCCCTGGAGGCAAAAGTTTTCTTCAGTGTCTTCCATTTCTTCTCTCACATTTCTCCCGGCCACAGGAGAACCCTCTGCTGCCAAGCCACTCTCTTGCTCTCTTCTTTCAGCTCAAATTCAAACCCAGATTAAGAAGAAAAAAAAGCTCCCTAAGGAGCTTTGGAAAATGCCTTCTTGTTCAGGATCAGGTCAGGTCAGGTCTGTGGGGCTTGTTCCTTGATCCAACTGTTATAGCTTCTCCATCATTTATTCGTTCCTTTGTTCGGGCATTCATTCATTCATTTGTTTGCTATTTATTAAGTGCCTACTGACTACATGTCCAGCCCCAGGGATGGAAAGGTGAATAAGGCACAGGCCCTGACCACATACCACACCCGGGGTCAGGGGAGGTAGGCAGTCACGTTCCGTAAAGTGCTCCTGAGCTCTGAAAAGCACCTGTGCAGAGTGCAGTCAGGGGACAAGGTAGAGAGTGGCCACATCTACCTCGGAGATGGGAAGGTCAAGAAAAGCTTCCGAGGGTGCTGACCCTAGACCTGGTCTCCATGTAGAATGGGCGGGCATTTCAGGCAGAGGGAGGAACATGACAAAGGCATGGAGCTGTGCAGTAGCCCAGCACATTCAGTAGCCCTTGCAGGAACAGTGACTCCGCATGCTCGCAGTGCTCTTCAGTGGCTACACCATTCACTCTTTTGGTGCTAAGCATCAATCTAACCCATAGACTTTTAAAAATACAAACACTCCAGGGAAAGTGACACATTCAGTTACAGTTACAGTCCTTGTGCCTGAACTGATGGAATCCTTTAGCCTTAGGCGAGGCTCCTGATGCTCATGGCTCTCTGGCCATGACACCCCCACCCCTGCACTCCCACCCCCCAGTACACACAGTACTACCCAACCTCTTTATTCTGGGCACATAAAGCAGGTAAGGGCTAAGAAGTAAACGTCCTAGCTGCTACTGACCCCAGGAGTAGGGTCTAATGGTTCGTCCTTTCGTCCCACTCTCCCAGGAAGCGGTCAGCTGTGTAATCTGAAGCCTCCATTGGTGATAGGCTTAGGTTGCGTGGAGAATGAAAGTTCTCAGATTTCTTTTTTTTTTTTTTTGAGTTGGAGTCTCGCTCTGTCACCCAGGCTGGAATGCAGTGGCACCATCTCAGCTCACTCCGCCTCCCCAGTTCAAGCAATTCTCCTGCCTCAGCCTCCTGAGTAGCTGGGACTACAGGCATGTGCCACCATGCCCAGCTAATTTTTGTATTCTTAGTAGAGATGGGGTTTCACCATGTTGGCCAGGATGGTCTCAAACTCCTGGCTTCAAGTGAGCTGCCCTCCTCGGCCTCCCAAAGTGCTGGAATCACAGGCATGAGCCATCATGCCTGGCCTGTTTTCAGATTTCTTAATTCTGTTGGTTGCTAAAGGAGTTGGTCATTCAAGTCTCCATCGGTAAGTAGAGATTTAGCTGTGGCCTTCCAGAAGGCTGCTGCTACCCCATCATAATATTCTCCTTTGTGTCTGATTATTTACCTTAACAATTCATTTCTCTGCATTAAGCACTGGGGTGCAGGGTGATGGGAGGGTGGCCTAAAAATGCATGTGTCCTCTGGAGGTGACACCTCCTTCATCACCATGCTGTTGAGACTGAGTTCATCTGACCTCTTTTCTCTGCGTATGGAGGGTCTAAGCAGAAATGGGATCATTGGTGCATGGAAGGGGGAACGGCTTGGAGGGAGAAAGGTGCAGAAAGATGAAGTGAGACCCCTCGAAGACCCACTTCAGGCTTTAGCTCGGGAATGTCATTTCCCTTCACTGTTGTCAGAAGCACAGACCACATCTGACAGGTCATGGAGTAGCTCATTCACCCATTCATTCATTCGTTCATTCATCTACTCGGTCTGTCCTTCACTAAATTTGTATTTAGCAGGCCTGTGTGGGGGCTCCATGATGAGTTAGGCTCGCTGCTGTCAGACCTCCACCTGTCTCACCTTGTTCTATGGCTGGATCCTCCCTCCACCTGGGACCCCTTCTCCATCAGCCCATGTGTCTGAAGCCCGCACTCACCTCTCAGCCCACTCTGGCACTTTTCACCATCTAGGGTCACACCTTCCCCTCCCACATCAGTGCTGACTCTATGCTTCACCAGCAGAGTTCCCTCTCTCCATTGATGTTGCAGCGTTTACTCAACAAATCTTGCCTCTCCTGGAGAGCAGGATCCTGGCATCATCCTTTCGTGTTTATGTCCCTCCACAGATGTGTACACAGTGCTTGATTAATGCTGAATGAATGAATGGTGGGTAAGTTGGTTTTTTTCAGGTTAATGTTAATCCATACAGTTTTTTTTTTAAACGGAGTTTTGCTCTTTTTGCCCAGGCTGGAGTGCAATGGTGTGATCTTGGCTCACCCCAACCTCCACCTCCCGGGTTCAGGCAATTCTCCTGCCTCAGCCTCCCGAGTAGCTGGGATTACAGGCATGCACCACCACATCTGGCTAATTTTGTATTTTTAGTAGAGACAGGGTTTCTCCATGTTGGTCAGGCTTGTCTTGATCTCCCAACCTCAGGTGATCTGCCCATCTTGGCCTCCCAAAGTATTGGGATTGCAGGTGTGAACCACCATGGCTGGCCAACCCCATAGAGTTCTAAGTGTCTTTCGTCAATAGGCTGGAGGCATTTAGAAGCTGAGGGTGTTTTCCTGGTAGACTGACATAGGATGTATCTGTTCTGAGTGTGTGTGTGTGTGTTCCCCTTAAGTCATAGGGAAAGCTTGTGCTCAGCCATAGTCCATGTGTTTCCAGCTTTGTTGGGAGTTAGTGAGGATTCAGGAGGCCCTTTCTCTGGGCACAATCCTGGGGATGCTTTAAGGATCATAATCACAAGAGTCTCTTACTTTTATGTGATGTTTACAGTGTACAAAGTTTATTCACAACTGCTTCTCACAACAGCCCTATCTTGTCTTACAGAATTAGAAATGATTGCTCAGGGAAATTAAGCCACCTACTTGAGGCCACTCAACTGTTAGGGCAGAGCAGGTCTTCTCTCCTGGGTCCCAGCTCTCCTCTCTCCCCCTTGGGTTCCCAGGTTCCCCACTCTGACTAACAGAGGGGCCCAGGAAAGATGCACATCTGTCCTGTCTCAGCAGGGCCAGGGGCTATGTCTCTCATCTCATGGCTTCGGTGGAACGAGGCCCCATCCCGGCTGTCCACCAGGAGCCCTGCTGAGATGGTGCTGGAGACGCTTATGATGGAGCTGACGGGGCAGATGCGAGAGGCTGAGAGGCAGCAGCGGGAGCGCAGCAATGCGGTCAGAAAGGTCTGCACCGGTGTGGACTACAGCTGGCTGGCCAGCACACCCCGGTCCACCTATGACCTCAGCCCCATTGAGCGGTTGCAGCTGGAAGATGTCTGCGTTAAGATCCACCCATCCTATTGTGGGCCTGCTATCCTCAGGTGAGCACTGGGATGGGGACCCTTGCTGGGCTGCAGGCTCCAGGAAAGGTGGCTGCAGTGGCAGGGGCCTGAGGCCACCAGGACTAGAGTCAGGGAGCCTGGATGACCTAGTTATCTGTTAGAAGGAGCAAGAGGGGAAAAGGAGTCTGAAAGAGACCATGAAACGCTGGACTAGGGTTAGGGGTCCAGCGGGAGGCAGGAGGCAGCTCCTGGAGGCGCGTGAGTTTTGATTCAAGAGAACACAATACTTTTGAGTTTTCTCTTCTTCCTGCCCAGATTGTTATTGTCCTGGATTTTAACTTACCTGGCTTCTTTTCTCTTGTCAGTTTATCTTCAATATTACCTTCTCGGAGAAGTTTTCCAGACATTTCTCCAAAGTCAGATTCTTAATTATCTTAGCTTATGTTAGCTTTCATGCTAGTCTGACCACAGGTGAGTGTGTGTGTGTGTGTGTGTGTGTGTGTGTGTAGGAAGGGTTCAAACAAAACCCTGGGGCACTGCACATTTAGAGCTTGGGTACAACAATGTTCCTTGAATATAAATGTAACCTTACTGACTTACTGAAGCTGTGACCACATGGTCCTGTCTCAGAAGGATTGGTGCTGATGTCAAGGAAGCATCGAGTAATTTCAAAATAACTCAAGTTCTTTGTCTACATTTCTCTTTGTAAAGGAATATAAATCCACAATAAAACATCTTAAAACTCCTGTTAGTCTCCCAAAATCTTCCCTCACCCATCCCTTTAACCAACATATGCATTTATTATACACCTTTTTCTTTGAAATTCCCTTCAAAAGCTCCTCTCCTTCAGCCCCTTTCACCTTCTTCAGCCCCGTCCACACTCCTTGGTTTTTGCAGAGCTTTTACCATCCCTCCCCTTTCTTCCTCCAGATGGAGAACCTTACTCTCCCCCAGCTCTGATTCTGTACTGTGGAAGCCTCCAAAGTGTATCTATTCCAGAAGCACCTGGGGACGGGGGTGGGTCATGGGGTGGAGCTGCTGAAAAGGGAATCTGGGCTGGCAAATCAAGCCTCAAAAGTGAGGGGGAAGGCTGGGTACACACAGGTCATGATTGTCCTGTCTCATTTCCGGTCTCATGTCACTGCTGGGAAGTCCTGACTCTCAATCTGGTGGAGGAAACCTGGTATTAAATAGACTTGCTAACATTAACTTGTGAGCTCTAAGCAAAGATAGCCTAGGCAGAGTAAACAGCTTGGGAAAACACAGGGCCTTGGGAGAAGCTGGGACATGTCGGGGCCACAAGTGATTCTTCCCAGCTGATGTGCAGGGTCTTCCAGGGAAGTATCAGGGGACCCCTGTGCATGGCAAACAGCTCACCTGGAAGGAATATCACAGGGGCAGTGACATAATCAGATATAGGTTTCAGAAAGATCATGCTGGCCAGTGGGTGGAGAAGAGACAGGAGAGGCTTAGCCAGAAGGCTGCCACGGCAAAGGGCTCCCCTTAATGCTTCGTCATCAACAACCTTAGGTAAGTGTCAGGATCTTTACATATCTTAGTTCATTATAGCTCACACAAAGGCAGCTGTCATCTCAGATTACAGACGAGGAGGCTGAGGCCAACTGAGGCCAGAAGTGGCAGAGCTGGGATTTGAACGCAGGATTGGTTGAAGCAGTAGCAGCGTGGGGTGGTTCCTGATTCGCTTCAGGAGCAGAGTAGAGTGGACTAATTGGCCATGAGGATGCACGGGCAGCCCCTCGGGGTTAGACGCCCGGGGTGCCAGACCCGCTGTTGTGGGTGAATGTCCCCAGCGCCCTCCCCTCCCGCCCAGGTTCCGGCAGCTGCTGGCGGAGCAGGAGCCCGAGGTGCAGGAGGTGTCCCAGCTCTTCCGCTCGGTGCTGCAGGAGGTCCTGGAGAGGATGAAGCAGGAAGAGGAGGCCCACAAGCTGACGCGCCAGTGGAGCCTGCGGCCCCGCGGCAGCCTGGCCACCTTCAAGACCCGCGCGCGCATCTCGCCCTTCGCCAGCGACATCAGGACCATCTCCGAGGACGTGGAGCGGGACACACCGCCGCCACTGCGGTCCTGGAGCATGCCCGAATTCCGGGCGCCCAAAGCCGACTGACCCCGGCCGCTTCCCTGCCCAGAAGCGGAGCCTTCTGCAGGGGGAATGATAGGCCGGTGACCGGAGCGCCGGGCCCTGGAACCTCCCCACCTAGGCCTGACGAGGAGACCCAAGAGGCGGCCCCATCCCAAGACGCTGCTATAAAATGAAGCGACTCCCTGCCCCATCCTCTTCCTCTGGCCACAAAGCTGAGTTAGGTCGTAGAGCGGCACCGCCCTCTCCCTCTCCTGCGCTAGTCTGCAGGAGCAGCCCCTTCCCTAACTGGCAGATTCAAGGTTTTGGAAGACAGACCATTGCCCCATCCTCATCTCCTGGTTCTGTCTAAAAGGGGACAGTTGCCCTGCCTTTTGGCAAGACCTAGGTTCTCACCCCAATTTCAGGGATGTCCCATTCACCCCCCTACCCCCATCCCCAATGAGAAGGGACCTGTTGGCTGGTATGCCTTCTTGCTAGTGACTGGCTGAGCTCACCACTGCAGGTGGGTCACACACAGCCTCATAGGCAGGCACAGCTGGAAGGGACCAGAGAGACATTTAGATCCACTCTCTTCAGCTAGTAAATGTGGAACTTGAGGCTCAGAGAGGGACACTTCTTCTGCCTTTAACTGCAGCCAGCTCCTCATGAACAGTGAGATTGTTCCTGCATGAATAGTGTCTGTTCCTGAGTTTGGAATCCTGGGCTATGAAGGGACAGGTCCAAAGGCTACATCTCTACCTACCTGTGGCCTGATCCATCTCTTACCTTGGCAGTGGGATGAGAATCTAAGCTGCTCTCCAAGAAGTGTAGCTAGGGGTGGAGGTAGGTTACTCATTACCCCACGCCACAATGTCATCGCATGGGCTGTGGCCAGTCCCTAACAGCTTCTTCCAGAGGCTCAGCTCCAAGGACTTCAGATGCTGCCCTAAAGAGCCCAGGTTTCTCAATTCCAGGGTTCCGCTTTCTGCAGCTGGTCACACCTGCTCTCTGGCTTTCTCCAGAAAGTGATGCCCAAACCCCTGACTGACCTTGAGGCAGCTGAGTGAAATGTTCTAGAAGAGCTTCCTGCAGCTTCATTGTCCTTCCCTTTTCTAACATGGTTAGGCCTTGATGATGGGCATGTGGATTACCCAATGTGTGGATCACCCATGGAAAATCTGGAAGGCCAGGAGGCCTTCCCACACACTCTGGGGTTGAAGTGGGGTGTAAGGGGGATGGGTGGGGAAGTGTCTACCCTCAACTACCAGCACACATGCAGAAAATGCAAGTGGACCTTAATAGTAGCCTAAATAAAATACCCGGAGGAGATATAATCAACAGGGGGGAAAAGTGTGTATTCCCTCAGTGGAAAAAAGTTTTTTTGAATGATTTGGTTTTGAACTTCCCTTTTGAAGTTTTTTTGGATTTTCACTTGAATCTGGACAGAGAATCATAGGATGGTGGAAAACCTCTGATCCAACACTATCAAGATGAAAGAGTTGATTGGCTTATTAATGTAATTGGTAGAAGTTGAGAATCACTTAAAATATACATCTTAAACATCTTACGTATTTTATTTGAAGACATAAAAAGTTCACTTGGTTGCCAAACTTTTTTTTTTTTTTTTGAGACTGAGTCTCACTCTGTTACCCAGGCTGCAGTGCAGTGGCGTGATCTCGGCTCACCACAACCTTTGCCTCCCGGGTTCAAGTGATTCTTCTGCCTCAGCCTCCTAAGTAGCTGGGACTACAGGCACGTGCCATCACCCCAGCTAATTTTTGTATTTTTATTAGAGATGGGGTTTCACTATGTTGCCCAGAATGGTCTTGAACTCCTGACCTCGTGATCCACTCGCCTTGGCCTCCCAAAGTGCTGGGATTACAGACATGAGCCACTGTGCCTGGCTGCCAAACTTTTGATGTGGGTCCAAGCTGTGCTTTTTTGTGACCTATATGTTTTGTCTGGTGGGAGTTCTACACTTAAGTTTTCTTGGTTTGCACTTTAATCATAACAATAAGAACAACTGGCGTAAAAGAGTTTTGGAACAAGCAGAAGTGACCCTTGGTAAGCAGACTGCTCAGCTGGTAGGGGCAAAAGTGTTGGGGGAGGATTAGAAAAAGGCCTCCACATTGTGGGCTTTCCGGGTGCCCTGGATGTGGGTCAGCAAATGTTTTAGAGGAAGTAGTTAACCTGGAGGGAGATTCAAAGGAGGCTGGATAAGAGAATGTCTATTTTTCTCCTTCCCTATCACCTTACATGTACCTATTCTCCCCAAAGAGAAGGAAGACCTTAGGCTTTCAATGTGGTGTTCTTTCTTAAGTTTAAGTAACTGGCTGCCAATGAAAACCTTCCCTTCGAGCCGCAGGCATGTGGACAGAATCCACCACCCTCCTTAGACACTCCTCAGACTACTACAGGCTATCCCCAGCTGGTGGCTCTCAAATTCATGAGGGTCCAGAAGTTGTTCCTCTGGATTCAGGTTGTTAAAGGGACTAATGAGGTCTGCTTCCATTACTATTATTGAAACCTCAATAACCACAAATAAAAGAACAAAAAGTTTGAGAGTGTCCTTGTAAGTATCTGATGAGTGGCTGGTGTTATTTTGGAGGGGATGGGTTGAGTGTGTTCAAGACTACCACAGCCAGCCTGTTTGCACCCAGCTCAATACCACTAGCCACTAGAGGGCGTGGGTGGGAGGCTTGTACTACTTGGTGACTACATTTTTTTTTTTAACTTATGAAAATCTTCAAACACAAAAATGTAGAGGGAGAAGTTTAAGAAGCCCCATATACCTACCATGAAAGTTTAATAGTTACTAACATTTGGCCATATTGTCTTTATTTTTGTGTGTGGAGTATTTTAAGATAAATCCCAAGGTGTTGTGACAATTCACCCCTGAATACTTCAGTATGCACTACATAGGAATAAAAACTTCTTCCTATATAACTATACTACCATTATCACTCCTAACAAAATTAACAGTGATTCTTTAATATTACCTAATGCCCTGTCCATATTCACATTTCCCTGTTCCCAAGAAATGATTCTTGCCGTTTATTCCTTTGAACAAGGATCTAATCAAGTCCCACACATTGACAAGAAAATTGCAGTTTATTTTTTTGTTGTTGTTATTTTATTATATTTTATTTGCAGTTTGTTTTACAGTGGTCATATAGTATTATGTAATTCCATAATGAAGCATTGCTTAAAGATAGAGTGCTTACGGAACACTCATGTTAACATGCAATAAGTTAGTGACTGAACACAAATGATAAAAATTCTGCAAATTAGCCTAATGATACGCTTTACTCAGATCCTCGTTATGTTATTTGATTAAAATTCTTCCATAGTCGGAACCAAGATTCCTTCATACTTTGAAACGTAATGTTAAAAATTGGTAGTGGCCTGGGCATGGTGGCTCACACCTGTAATCCCAGCACTTTCGGAGGCCATGGCGGGGTGGGGGGGCAGATCACGTGAAGTCAGGAGTTCAAGACCAGCCTGGCCAATATGGTGAAACCGCATCTCTACTAAAAATACAAAAATTATCTGGGCATGGAGACACATGCCTGTAATCCCAGCTACTTAGGAGGCTGAGGCAGGAGAATCGCTTGAACCTGGGAGGTGGAGGTTGCAGTGAGCTGAGATGGTACCACTGCACTTCAACTGGGCGACAGAGCCAGACTTTGTCCCAAAAAAAAAAAATTGATAGTGACAATATATCTAACCCGACTTTTCATTTGATGAAAATACTTGTCACATCATATGTTTTATTTACTAGGACATGCTTGCAAATAGCAACCTAAAACCTTCTCCCTTTTTCTTGCCATTTAGAAACAAAACACTAACATTTATCAAAATAACTCAGGGGAAATCTGAAGAATTCCAATAGCAGATAATGAAAAAAGTTTGTCTATTTTTGATGCCATTGTTCATCACATAGTTAAATTTCAGTCTATGTCTTAATATTCATATGGTCTCCCAAAAAAACACAATGTTACTTCAAAATTTATTCATAGACAAATTATTTTTAGAAAATTATTTTGATTTATTACCTTGACTCATTTGTTAAAAGGGGAAATTGACATCTATTTCCCTTTACAAATATTATTACATATTGCATCAAATTAGCATTATAATATTAAGGTGCTAAAGACAAAAACAAAAATTATTTCTTTATCATATTCAAGGCAAAAATAATAATTTAAGTTTCTAAAAATGTGCAAGTTTTTATATAACCGTAAAAGGTGTTCACAAGCCAATAGAGGTTGGGAAGTGTTTTCTAAAACATTTTATTGTATTGCATTCTAGTTACAATTCCCTTGTTGAAACAAACACAATATTCTTAAAGCTCGGCAGTAAAACTTGGAAGTTTTCCAGCTCAGTCTCCCAACTCAGCTAGGATTTGGTTCAGGGAAAATTACATTCCAGGAACAAGCTGTTCCTCTCTATGTGAACTGAGCACTGCAGCTAACTGCTTCGAAGCCACTTCTGGCACCTGCTCAGGGCCATAGGCCTCTCTAGAATCCAAGGCAAAGGGGGATACAGTTGAAGTTAACCTCTCCTTAGTAGAAAAGAAATCAAGCCACTAGGGAAAAAAAAAAAGTCTCCAAACTGTAAAAGGAACAGGGGAAATGTGTACTTTATCCAAATAAGCCAGCCCAATAATATTGCTGTGGACAGAAAAGGCTTTGTCATCAAGAAACTCTTTTATTAACATTTTAATGACCCTTTACAGTTTACAAAGTGCTTTCACTCATGTCATCTCACTTGATCTTGACCAGGGATTGAGGTGCATTATGTTTTGTTTCAGATTGGGCATTATGTGGCTGCCTAGAACTGGAAGCCAGAGTTCCTTCCACATGCTGTCAGCATTATAGATCTTTCTGTGTTCTTGGAACAGTCCCCAACTACTCTATCACTGTACTTATCACAAAGTGATGTCAATGCACATGCTTTTGCTGTCGCTTCTTCCTCTCACTTTGCTGTTCCCCCGCCTCCAGTAGTTTGTGAAATCCTTAAGTGCAGGAAGTAGGTCTTTTACTTCTGTGTCCCCATCTTCTGGGCACACAGTAGGTACTTTACAAATGCACTTAACAGATAGGTGAATAGGGACACCAACATAGAGAGCTTACCTAGGACAGAGGCAGAGTGAAGAGAGGAGTGAACACTGAGGCAATTATGATACATCTGTATCATTCATTAGATTATACATTCTTTGAGGCACTATGGTGCTCATGTCTCATTTCAGTTTGTGTAACTCAAGATATGTCACTCAGACAGTAGTCAAAAACCTAAGAATGTATTCCTTTACTCATCAAATATTTACTGAACAACACCATGGGTAATAATTATAAAGGAAATGGGGCAGAGGTGTGGTTACCCATAAGCCTTCCAGCCAGATAAGACTCTTGCTGTCTTGAAATTATTAATGATTTTTTAACAAAGGTCTCCAAATTTAATTTTGCCCTTATGTAGCTGGTCCTGATGGCACCCATAATCGGGAAGTTCAGGGTTGTTACTGACCAAACCTGAGCGCAATGGAATGTGCTCTCTCTCCTCCTCCTCTTTTCCTCCTTCTCTCAGTCTCTTTTCTCTTCCTCCCCTTCTCCTTCTTTTTTTCCATCTCTTAGCTCTGTCTTCTTCTGTGTGGTGGTTGACTCTTTTTTTTTTTTTTTGAGACTCCAAGTCTTCCTCTGTCGCCCAGGCTGCAGTGCAGTGGCGCGATCTCAGCTCACTACAAGCTCCGCCTCCTGGGTTCATGCCATTCTCCTGCCTCAGCCTTCCGAGTAGCTGAGACTACAGGCACCCGCCACCACGCCCGGCTAATTTTTTGTATTTTTAGTGGAGACGGGGTTTCACCGTGTTAGCCAGGATGGTCTCGATCTCCTGACCTCATGATCTGCCCGCCTCGGCCTCCCAAAGTGCTGGGATTACAGGCGTGAGCCACCGTGCCCGGCCAGTGGTTGACTCTTAATCCCCTCTTTAGTGTGATCACATCCCTCCCTGCAACTAGAAAAGATGGCTGCTGGTAGTTCAGGCTGATGTGTCCCCAGTTTAGCACTCCCAACACCCATATACTAATCCCAGAGGAAGACCTTGTGGCAGAGCCTGGCGAGTTAGTCACCAAACCTGCTTTTCGTTCTGCTGAACTCACAATTACATGGCATTTCCAGCCTCCCTTTCCTTGGCAGTAGCCATGTGACCAAGTTTGGCCAATAGGATGTGAGCAGATATGAAAGCCTCCATTCCAGTTTGGCCCATTAAAAACCTTCCAAAAGTGATTCTCTGTTCTCTTTCCCCATTTGCTGGCTGAATGGAGAGGACTCTGAGACCCAAGAAGAGAGGGTAGTCACAAGATGAAAGGGGCCTGGGTCCCTGAATGACCACATGGAAGGCCATATTGGACTTCTTATGTGAATTACAAATATACTTCTATTTGTTAAACCACTGAGATTTGAAGTTTATCTCTGCAGATATTGGAGTAACTGACCTGTAACCAACATACACCTTGATTGCCCCTACTTGGGATGTCTACCACCATTGGACCAGTTACTATTGCTGGGGAATGAGGTACTAAGAGTGACCTAGCCTGGATCATGTGCCCTTCTGGGAACCTAGGGCACCAGATCACAGCCCCACTAAGACCACATGAAGTGAAAGGGGGGTGTTGTTGCTACAAGAAAGTGGATGGGAAAATATATGAGATGCCCCTGCCGACCCTGAAATCAGCTCCCAAAGCTCTGCCTAAGAGAGCAACCCAAAATCTCAAAGGGTCAAAAGATGTACTCTTTGAAAATCTGAATAGCTTAATATTAAAATGACTGTTGTAATATCATCTCAGTTCTTCCAAAGACCTTAAAATTACCTTTAATCTCATATCAAGGTAATTCGCAGAAGCTTCCATCCTACTTTTATTCTTGCTTCAAAGACGACAAATAAGGTTCCAACTGAAGGTCTCATGGGTGGGAAAATGAGAAAGTTTTTTTGTCTAACTGTCCGTGGCCATATCAACCTTCTGCCCAGGTGTAGATATATACAGGAAGAAATGACAGTCACTCATTGTCCCTACTGTGAAGTCAGCTCACTATTATTGCTTTCTGAGAAACTTTTCGTTTTGTTTTTTTTGTTTTTTCTCTGCCACTCCATCTTATCTTAAAAAGTTTCCTGTTTTTGTTGTTGTTTGGTTGGTTGGTTGGCTTGGTTTTTTAACCCATGAGCAGATTTTGCTCTTACTCAGGGGAACAAAAGGAATTTAACGGTCTAGATAAAATTGTTTGAATTTTGAGGCTATTGAACATTCTGGATTATAGTTCTGGTGAAATTATTCTGCCACTTACATCTTTGCAAATCATTCACTCTCTTGAGGCTCCTGTTCCTTATCTATTAGAGAAGCATAGATACCTTTCTACTGCCCAGGCTTGTGGTGAGGTTTAAATAAGATCAAATGCTTTCCCAACTATAAAAGAACTTTCAAGTTTAAGATCTTACAGTTGTCTGTGACAGTCTTCTCTTCAATTAGTATGGGTAACTGAAAGTCGATTGAACACACTGAAGAGCACTTTTCACCTTCCTTCCTCTGGAGTGTCCAGACCTGGCTCTTTAATCATTGCCCTTGAGCCCAATTTCCCTCATCTTTTAGATCTGTGGTTCTCAAGCTTGGCTGCACATTAGATTATCTGGCACCCAGGCCACATCTCAGGCCAGTTAAATCAGAAACTTGGGATGGGACTCAGGCATCAGTTTTTCTAAAGTTTTCTAGGTGGTTCCATTGTGCAGCCAAGGCTGAAAACTATGGTTTTAGATTATTCTTTCTGGGGAAATCAGGAAATTCTCTGTTGGCACAACTGAATCTATTTAACTCTAACACATGCACAAATGATTTCATTTCAATAGATTAATGCGCTTTGGACCTATTACAATGGTTATGTGATCTTATGTTAGAGATAGATGGTTGCAAAGTAGTTTATCACATAGATGTTTATCAGCTGTGATCGATGTTTATCATCTCCTTAGCAGCATTCAGGAAATGCTTGAAGATGAGATGTATCTTTTTTTTTTTTTTAGACAGAGTCTCGCTCTGTTGCCCAGCCTGGAGTGGAGTGCAGTGGCACGATCTTGGCTCATTGCAACCTCTTCCTTCCAGTTTAAGCAATTCTCCTGACTCAGCCTCCCAAATAGCTGGGGTTGCAGGCTATTTTCATATTTTTTTTTTTACAAATAAAATACCACCATGCCCAGCTAATTTTTGTATTTTTAGTAGAAACAGGGTTTCACCATATTGGCCAGGCTGGTCTCGAACTCCTGACCTCAGGTGATCTACCCACCTCAGTCTTCCAAAATGCTGGGATTACAGGTGTGAGCCACCATGCCTGGCCAAAATGTATCTTGTCAAGAGTGCTGCAAATACCATTTTATAGCAACTAGAAAATGGAGAGGGTGATAAGATCTGAGCTTTTTTTATAAACCTGCAAGAATACAATTACATAGGATGAAAATTATCTGGTGTCTGTTATGGACACTATTCATAAGGGGTGAGAGAGAGAGAAGAAGAGAGAGAGAGAAAATGAGAAAGTTGTAATCCAGCAGGTAGAAATAGCTGTCTGGGAGTGGGTTGTAGGGAACTCTTTCCTGCTTCTTGTGCCAAGTGGTAGAACTGGGAGGGAGGCAGCTGGAGCTAGTAAAGGTGAGTGGGAGGGTGCAGGTGCTGCCCTTGTCCTCAGAACAGGTAAAAGTGACATGTTTGACCGTTGGGCTTAAAGCCATCTTCAGATGCGAGCCGGTCCTGGGAATCAAGTTTGTTCTTATTTGCAGAGGTCCCGTGAAGGCCCCCTGGTGGTCACGGGCGGCTCAGCCAGAGAGTCCATTGTGCTGGCTGTGGGATCCCCATGGATCAGCGCCTGTACCGGAGCAGAGTGCGCTCTGAGTGCACCATTCTTCTCCAGCCGGAAGCAGCCTCCCTTTGCAGGTTTGCCCAGGATAGCCTTTGGCAGGACAAGAGACTTGCGCCGTCACATCCTCTCTCAGCTGCAGACATGGAGCACCTGCTGTGACATCTACAAACAGTGTGACCTTGGCACAGCTACTTAACTTTGCTGAGTCTCAGTTTTCTCATTTGAGTAACAATATTTGCACGACACTGTGGTTGTGGAAATTAACTGATATCAAGGCATATAAAGCTCCTGGAACCAGAAGGGTGTTCAAAGGCTTCTTGCTGTGTTATGTGTGTGCTCTTATTTTCCACTTGCTCACTTGCCTCTGGGTCCTCAGTGACCTGTCCCCATGGTGTAGCCTCTGTTTCCTGAGGCTTAGCTTGGATGCCTCCCACCTACCACCACATCACATTGCTTTCCTTCAGTTCATTTTCTCATTTGACCTCCACACTAACTCTGGGAGGTAGATGAGAAAGCAACATCCTTTCCAGTGTAGCCAGGAGCTAAGCAATTTGCCCACCATCAAACAGGAAATCACTGGCAAGAGTAGCAAGAAAATGACCCACCATTTTGGGACACTTACTATGTGAGTAAGGCACATGCTGAGCATGGTGCGTGCATTATCTCATTTTATCCTCACAAACAACATGGTGAGGCAGGTATTTTTATCTCCATTTTACAGGTACAGAAGCAGAGGTTTAGATGGCTGACTTTTCAAAGTTGTAAAGAGAGTAGCAGGCATAGCCAGAATTTAAACCCATTTCTCATCAGCTGTAGAGGCCTCTCTGCCTCTCTGGCAGTAACTTGAACTTAGTTCTCTTGATTCCTAGAAAACTGCTTCTTTTGCAACATGATGCTGCTCTAGGAACAACTTAGCAAATCCACAGCTACCAAAAGCACAGTGTTTGATTTCTCTTCTCTTTTCCTGGAGACGTTTTTACTTAGGATAACTTACTGCCTAATGCTGAATAGCCAAAAATGTATGCCTCTCAGGACTCAGAATTTTGATGGCCACAATCAGTTGGTCCCCAGAAAAATATCAATCCCCGCTTTGTTCTCACAGGAGAGCTCCAAAAGAGAAGTATAATTCATTTTTTCTTCCTCTTTTCTATTTTCTTAGGTGTCATTCTCTGTTATTCTGTTGGCTGTCATTTTTGTCTTTTGTGGACCAGTTGATATAGACAAACCACCACTAACAACCCAGACAGCCTGAGAATGGATAATACATGTGGCTTGACTGCCTCCTGAGATATTTCAGGTCCATTTACCCTGAATGACTAACACGTCTAAGAAAGAACACACACTTCTTTAGCTGAGGATGCTACCCTAACTTGACCCACATAGGAAGCAGATGTTTCCTCCCGGCCATTTGCCCACTCCATGTGACTTGGGCTTTTCACACATGGTGGCTGGGTTCTGAAGGACAGAGAGTGTGCCAAGAACAAACGGTCCAGGCAGAAGCTACAGGCTTGTTAAAAGCTGGCTATGGATGTTTTAAGACATCATTTTTGCTTTGTCCTATTAATCAAGCAAGTCACTATAGTCAGCCTACTTTTTTGGGAGGGGAATCAGACTCCAGCAGGGAATTGGGGTAGCTGATCCCTCAGCAATATTGTTTTTTTTCTCTCTTTGCTAGTTTGGTAGGATAAAAATGTTATTTTAATTACATTTATTTCATTACAAGAAAGATTGAACATGAAAAGGGACATGTACTGGCAATTTGCATTATCATGTGAATTACCTAGTCAAATATTTTGGCTATCTCTTTCTCTAATTAATCTGTTAGGGTTTTGTCTTAGGACCTTTTGTGTTGCTATGTAGGAGCACCAGACACTGGGTAATTTCTAAAGATAAAAAGGTTTATTTGGCTCATGATTCTGATGACCGGAAAGTTCAAGACCTGGCATCTGCATCTAGTGAGGGGCTCAGGTTGTTTCCTCTCATGATGGAAGGCAAAGGGGAGCCTGTGTGTGCAGAAATCACATGGCAAGACAGAAAGCAAGAGAAGGGAGGACAGAGGCCAGGCTCTTTTTAACAACTAGCTTTCTCAGGAACTCAAAGAGTGAGAACTGACTCACTCCCAAGGGAGGACATTAATCTATTCATGAGGGGCTACCTGCATGACCCAAACATCTCCCATTGGGCCCCACCTTTAGCTTTGGAGATCAAATTTCAACATGAGGGTTGGAGTAAACAAACATCCAAACTATCACAGACTGCAAATATTAAAAACATTAAATTTTGGTCTATTATATATATTGTGACTTTTTTTTCCAGTTTCAATTTACCTTTTAATTTTTAAAGTTTTTTTCTTTCTTAATCAAGACAGGGTCTTGCTCTGTTACGCAGGCTGGAGAACAGTGTGTGATCCTACCTCACTGCGGCCTCAAACTCCTGGGTTCAAGTGACCATGCTGCCTCAGCCTCCTAAGTAGCTGGGACTACAGGCATGCACCACCACACCCAGTAAATTTTTTTAAAATTTTAAACTTTTGGTAGAGACAGGGTCTTGCTATGTTGTCCTGCCTTGGCCTCCCAAAGCACTGGGTTCTTTTAATATTTTACAGTGCTTTTAAAAAATTATCAATTATAAGCTGGGCGTGGTGGGTCACACCTGTAATCCCAGAACTTTGGGAGGCTGAGGCAGGCGGGTCACTTGAGGTCAGGAGTTTGAGACCAGCCTAGCCAACATGGTAAAACCCCGTCTCTACTAAAAAAAAAAATTAAAAAGTTAGCCAGGCGTGGTGGCGGATGCCTGTAATCCCAGCTACTTGGGAGGCTGAGGCAGGAGAATCGCTTGAACCCCAGAGGCAGAGGTTGCAGTGAGCCAAGATTGGGCCACTGAACTCCAACCTGGGTGACAGAAGGAGACTCTGTCTCAAAAAAAAAAAATTCAATTATTCCATTAGTTTCCAGTTTCAAAGTTTTTTTTTCAGCTTCAATAATGTGTAGTTAACAAAAATTGTATATATTTATAGTACACGATGAGATGTTTTAATATATGTTTAATTGTGAAATGATTAAATTAAGCCAATTAACATATTCATCACCTGACATACTTATTTTTTGTGTGTGGTGAGAACATTTAAGATCTACTCTCTTAGCAGTTTTCAAGTATACCATGCATTATTAAGTACAGTCACCATGCTGTACAGTACATCTCCAGAACTTATTCATTCTGTCCAACTGAAACTTTATACCCTCTCTATTAGTCTGTTTTTATGCTGCTGATAAAGACATACCTGAGACCGGGAATAAAAAGAGGTGTAATTGGACTTACAGTTCCACATGGCTGGGGAGGACTCAGAATCATGGCGGGAGGTGAAAGGCACTTCTTACATGGCAGCAGCAAGAGAACATGAGGAAGAAGCAAAAGTGGAAACCCCTGATAAAACCATCAGATCTTGTGAGACTTATTTACTATCATGAAAATAGCATGGGAAAGATCGGCCCCCATGATTCAATTACCTCCCCTTGGGTCCCTCCCACAACACGTGGGAATTCTGGAAGATACAATTCAAGTTGAGATTTAGGTGGGGACACAGCCAAACCATATCACCCTCTGATCAACATTTCCCCATCTCCTCCTCCCCTCTCTTCCAATCCCTGGCAACCATTCTCTCCCTCTCTCTCTCAGTTCTTTTTAAGATTCTGTATACAAGTGAGATCATGCAGAATTTGTTTTTTTGGGCCTGGTCTATTTCATTTGGTATAATGTCCTCCAGGTTCTGGTTTATCCATCTCCAAATTTATCCAAATGACAGGATTTCCTTCTTTATAAGGCTGAATAGTATTCCATTGTATATGTATGTATGTGTGCATCTGTATAATGTGATATGTATTTTTTTCTTTATTCATTCATCTGTTGGTGGACACTTAGGTTGATTTTACATCTTGGCTGATGCAATGAACATGGTAGTACAAACATACTGATTTCATTTTTTTAAAGATGTATATCCAGAAGTGGGATTGCTGGATCACATGGTAGTTCTATTTTCAATTTTTTGAGGAACTTTCCGACTGTTTGCCGTAATGGCTGTACCAATTTCTATTCCCACCAAGAATGTACATAGGTTCTCCTTTCTTCACATTCTTACCAAAACTTTTTATCTTTGATCTTTTTTATAGTAGTCATTCTAACAGGTGTTAGGTGATGTCTCAGTGTAGTTTTAATTTGCATTCTCCTGATGATTAAAGACACTGAGCATTTTTTCATATCTCTGTTGGCCATTTTCATATATCTGTTGGTCATATCGGTTGGTATGTCTTCTTTTGAGAAGTGTCTATTCAGGTCTTTGGTACATTTTTTATTTTTATTTTTTTTGAGACAGGATCTCACTCTGTTGCCCAGGCTGGAGTGCAGTGGCACGATCATGGCTCACTGCAGCCTTGACCTCCTGGGCTCAAATGATCCTTCTACCTCAGCCTCCCAAGTAGCTGAAACTAGAGGTGTATGCCACCACACTCAGCTAATTTTTCTCTCCATTTGTTAATTGGGTTGTTTTCTTTCTACTAAGTTGTTTGAGTTCCTTATATATTTTGGATATTAACCCCTTATTGGATGTATCATTTGCAAATATTGAGGTCTTTAATCCATCTTTAGTTTATTTTTTTATATGCTATGAGATAAGGGCCTAATTTCATTCTTCTACATGTGGACATCCAGTGTTCCCATCATTTATTGAAGAAATTATTCTTTCTCCATTGTGTGTTCTTGGCACCTTTGTCAAATATCAATTGACCAGATATGCATGGATTTATGTGTTTAAGACTTCCCATCCTGTACTCAGATACATATTATCTTTATTCCCAACTTATCTATGGTTTAATTTTTAGTAATTAAATCAATAATCATTTAGACTTGTTTTGATATATACTGGAAGGTAATATAATTTTTCCCAATGTTTACCCAATTGTCCTCACACTATTTATTTAATAATCTATGCTTTCCCTATTGATTTAAAATGCAATCTTCATCTTCTAAATTGTTATATATACTTGGACCTGTTTGGAGATTTTGAAGCAAAGGGAAGAGAGACCTATGCTTTAGAAAAATGACTGATTTACAGGAGGTAGAAGCAGAATATTTGCTGCTAGTACCATGTTAGATGTTAATCTGAGGAACACAATATGTTGGTTGGTTTGGAAAGTTTTTTAGGGACGTAGGCAGTAGTTCTGGGGTAGAGGAGCAATGGAGGTTCATGTAGAGCAGCTATGTTCAAAAGTGTGGCCTGTGGACTTCTAGGGTCCTAACACCCTTTCAAGGGGTCTGAGAGAGAAAAACTATTTTCATAGTAATATGTCATTTTGCTTTCTCATTGTCTTGACAATGGCACTGATAATGCACAAGCAACGTTGTTTTTACTGACCAGCAATTTTCTGCTGACACCTTAGCATGAATCAAGGCAGTGATGCCAAACTGTACTAATAGTCATTGTACTCTTCAATGCCAAACACTTGCAGCAAAAACAACAACAAGCAAAAAAAGAAAAGCAAGTTTCAAGACAATACTCTTTTTTAAAAAAATTATTTTTAATTTTTGTGGGTACATAATAGGTATATATATTTATGGGGTACATGATATGTTTTGATACAAGCATGTAATGTGAAATAAGCATATCACAGAGAATGGGGTGTTTATCCCCTCAAGCATTTATCCTCTGAGTCACAAACAATCCTCCTATTACACCCTTTAAATTATTTTAAAATGTACAATTAAGTTATTATTGACTATAGTCACCCTGTTGTGCTATCAAACAGTAGGTCTTATTCATTCTATGTTTTTGTACCCATTAACCATCCCCACTTCCACCGACCACTACCCTTCCCAGCCTCTTGTAACCATCCTTTTGCTCTCCATGTCCATGAGTTCAATTGTTTTTATTTTTAGATCCCACAAATAAGTGAGAACATGCAATGTTGTCTTCCTGTGCCTGGCTTATTTCGCTTAGCATAATGATTTCCAGTTCCATCAATATGGTTGCAAATGACTGCATCTCATTCTTTTTATGGCTGAATAGTACTCCATTGTGAATATGTACCATATTTTTTTTATCCATTCATCTGTTGATGAACACTTAGGTTGCTTCCAAATCTTAGGTATTGTAAACAGTGCTGCAACAAACATAGGAGTGCAGATATCTCTTCGATATACTGATTTCCTTTCTTTTGGATATATACCTAGCATTAAGATTGCTGAGATCATATGGTAGTTCAATTTTTAGCTTTTTGAGGGATCTTCAAACTGTTCCCCATAGTGGTTATACTAATTTACATTCCCACCAACAGTGTACAAGTGTTCCCTTTTCTCCACATCCTCACTAGCATTTGTTAATCCCTGTCTTTTGGATATAAGCCATTTTAACTGAGATGAGATAACATCTCATTGTAGTTATTTTTTCTTTTCTTTTTTTTTTTGAAAAAGGGTCTGGTTCTGTCACCCAGGCGGGAGTGCAGTGGCACGATCATGGCTCATTGCAGCCTCTGCCTCCTGGGCTCAAGTCATCCTTCCACCAAGTAACTGAGACTACAGGTACATCCACCACACCCAGCTGCTTTTTGTATTTTTAGTAGAGATGGGAAGATGGTGGGGTTCGCCATGTTGCCCAGACTTGTCTCAAACTCCTGAGCTCAAGCAAGCTGCCTGTCTCGGCCTCCCAAAGTTCTGGGATTACAGGCATGAGCCACCACGCTCAGCCTCACTGTAGTTTGATTTGCATTTCTCTGATGATCAGTGATGTTGAGCACACTTTCAAATGCCTCTTTGCCATTAGTATGTATTTTTTTGTTTTTGTTTTTTGACAGTCAATCTGTCACCCAGGATGGAGTGCAGTGGCATGCTCTCGGCTCATTGCAACTTCCGCCTCCCAGGCTCAAGCGATTCTCCTGCCTCAGCTTCCCGAGTAGCTGGGACTAGAGGCATGCGCCACCACAGCCGGCTAATTTTTATATTTTTAGTAGAGATGGGGTTTCGCCATGTTGGCCAGGCTTGTCTTGAACTCCTGGCCTCAAATGATCTGCCTGCCTTGGCCTTCCTAAGTGCTGGGATTGCAGGCATGAGCCACCATGCTTGGCCTGTATGTCTTCTTTTGAGAAATGTCTATTAAGACCTTTTGTCCATTTTTCAGTCGGGTTGTTATGATTTTTTCCTATATAGTTGTTGAGCTCATTATATATTTTAGTTATTAATCCCTTGTCAGATGGATAGTTTGCAAATATTTTCTCCCATGCTGTGAGTTTTCACTTTGTTGATTGTATCCTTTGCTGTGCAGAAGCTTTTTAACTTGATGTGATCCCATTTATTCATTTTTGCTTTTGTTGACTATGCTTATGGAGTATTGCTCAAGAAAATTTTGCCCAGACCAATGTCCTAGAGATTTTCCCCAATGTTTTCTTGTAGTAGTTTCATAGTTTGAGGTCTTAAATTTAAGTGCTTAATCCATTTTGATTTGATATTTATATATGGTGAGAGATAGGGGGGGTCTAGTTTCATTCTTCTGCATATGGATATCCAATTTTCCCAGCACCATTTATTGAAGAGATTGTCTTTTCCCCAGTGTATGTTCTTGATACCTTTGTCAAAAATGTGTAGGTGTGTACATTTGTTTCTGGGTTCTCTATTCTGTTCCATTGGTCTAGGTGTCTCTTTTTATGCCAGCACCATGCTGTTTTGTTTTCTATAGCTCTGTAGTATAATTTGAAGTCAGGTAATATGATTCCTCTAGTTTTGTTCTTTTTGCTCAGGATAGTTTTGGCTATTCTGGGTCTTTCGTGATTCCATATGAATTTTAGGATTTTTTTTCTATTTCTGTGAAGAATGTCGTTGGTATTTTAATAGGGATTGCATTGCATCCTTTGGGTAGTATAAACATTTTAACAATATTTATTCTTCCAATCTATGAACATGGAATATTTTTCCATTTTTTTGGTGTTCTCTTCAATTTCTTTCATCAGTGTTTTATAGTTTTCATTACAGAGATCTTTCACTTCTTTGGGTAATTGCTAGGTATTTAATTTTATGTGTGGCTATTGTAAATGGGATCACTTTTTAATTTCTTTTTCACACTGTTCACTGTTGGCATATAGAAATGCTACTGATTTTTGTATGTTGGTTTTGTATCCTGCAGCTTTATTGAATTTATTTAACACTTCCAATAGTTTTTTAGTGGAGTCTAGGTTTTTCCACATATAAGAGATATCATCTGCAAACAAGGATAATTTGACTTCTTTTTTTCCAATTTGGATGCCCTTTATTTTTTTTCCCTTGTCTGATTGTTCCAGCTAGGACTTCCAGTACAATGTTGACTAACAGCGGTGACAGCAAACATCCTTGTCATGTTCTAGGTCTTACAGGAAAGGCTTTCAGTGTTTCCCCGTTCAGTATGATACTAGCTGTGAGTCTGTAGTATATGACTTTTGTTATGTTATGTTCCTTGTATCCCCAGTTTTTTGAGGGCTTTTATCATTAAGGATGTTAAATTTTATCGAAAGCTTTTTCAGCATCAATTGAAATGATCATATGGTTTGTATCCTTCATTCTGCTGATATGATGTATCACATTGATTGATTTGCATATGTTGAACCATCGTTGCATCCCTGGGATAAATCCCACTTGGTCATGATGAATGATCTTTCTTTTATTTATTTATTTATTTATTTATTTTTTTATTGATCATTCTTGGGTGTTTCTCACGGAGGGGGATTTGGCAGGGTCAAAGGACAATAGTGGAGGGAAGGTCAGCAGATAAACAAGTGAACAAAGGTCTCTGGTTTTCCTAGGCAGAGGACCCTGCGGCCTTCCGCAGCGTTTGTGTCCCTGGGTACTTGAGATTAGGGAGTGGTGATGACTCTTAATGAGCATGCTGCCTTCAAGCATCTGTTTAACAAAGCACATCTTGCACCGCCCTTAATCCATTTAACTCTGAGTGGACACAGCACATGTTTCAGAGAGCACAGGGTCGGGGGTAAAGTCACAGATCAACAGGATCCCAAGGCAGAAGAATTTTTCTCAGTACAGAACAAAATGAAAAGTCTCCCATGTCTACCTCCCTCTACACAGACACGGCAACCATCCGATTCCTCAATCTTTTCCCCACCCTTCCCCCCCCTCCACTCCACAAAGCCGCCATTGTCATCCTGGCCCGCTCTCAATGAGCTGTTGGGCACACCTCCCAGACGGGGTGGCAGCCGGGCAGAGGGGCTCCTCACCTCCCAGCAGGGGCGGCCGGGCAGAGGCACCCCTCACCTCCCGGACGGGGCTGCTGGCCGGGCGGGGGGCTGACCCCCCCACCTCCCTCCCAGACGGGGCGACTGGCCGGGCAGAGGGGTTCCTCACTTCCCAGTAGGGGCGGCCGGGCAGAGGCGCCCCTCACCTTCTGGACGGGGCGGCTGGCCGGGCGGGGGGCTGACCCCCCCACCTCCCTCCCGGACGGGGCGGCTGGCCGGGCGGGGGGCTGACCCCCCCACCTCCCTCCCGGACGGGGCGGCTGGCCGGGCGGGGGGCTGACCCCCCCCACCTCCCTCCCGGACGGGGTGGCTGCCGGGCGGAGATGCTCCCCACTTCCCAGACGGGGTGGCTGCCGGGCGGAGATGCTCCTCACTTCCCAGATGGGGCGGCTGCCGGGCGGAGGGGCTCCTCACCTCTCATACGGGGCGGCTGCCGGGCGGAGGGTCTCCTCACCTCTCAGACGGGGCGGCCGGGCAGAGACGCTCCTCACCTCCCAGACGGGGTGGCGGCCGGGCAGAGGCGCTCCCCACATCCCAGACGGGGCGGCGGGGCAGAGGCGCTCCCCACATCCCAGACAATGGGCGGCCGGGCAGAGACGCTCCTCACTTCCCAGATGTGAGGGCGGCTGGGAAGAGGCGCTCCCCACTTCCCAGATGGGATGGTGGCTGGGCAGAGACGCTCCCCACCTTCCAGACTGGGCAGCCAGGCAGAGGGGCTCCTCACATCCCAGACGATGGGTGGCCAGGCAGAGACGCTCCTCACTTCCCAGACGGGGTGGCGGCCGGGCAGAGGCTGCAATCTCGGCACTTTGGGAGGCCAAGGCAGGCGGCTGGGAGGTGGAGGTTGTAGCGAGCCGAGACCACGCCACTGCACTCCAGCCTGGGCGCCACTGAGCACTGAGTGAACCAGACTCCGTCTGCAATCCCGGCACCTCGGGAGGCTGAGGCCGGCGGATCACTCGCGGTTAGGAGCTGGAGACCCGCCCCGCCAACACAGCGAAACCCCGTCTCCACCAAAAAAATACGAAAACCAGTCAGGTGTGGCGGCACGCGCCTGCAATTGCAGGCACTCCGCAGGCTGAGGCAGGAGAATCCGATGAATGATCTTTCTAATGTATTGTTGAATTCAGTTTACTACTATTTTGTTGAGGAATTTTGCATCAATATTCTTCAGAGATATTGGCCTGTAGTTTTCTTTTTCTGATGTGTCTTTATCTGGTGTGGGTATCAGGGTAATACTGGCCTTATAGAATATGTTGAGAAATATTACTTTATCCTCTATTTTTCAGAATAGTTTCAGTAGGATTAGTATTAGTTCTTTAAATGTTTGGTAAAATTCAGCAGTGAACCATCAAGTCCTGGGCATTTCTTTATTGAGAGACGTTTAATTACAGCTTTGATTTTCTTTTATTATTATTATTATTATTATACGTTAAGTTCTAGGGTACATGTGCACAACGTGCAAGTTTGTTACATATGTATATATGTGTCATGTTGGTGTGCTGCACCCATTAACTCATCATTTACATTAGGTATATCTCCTAATGCTATCCATCCCGACTCCCCCCACCCCATGACAGGCCCCAGTGTGTGATGTTCCCCTTCCTGTGTCCAAGGTTCTCATTGTTCAATTCCCACTTATGAGTGAGAACATGCAGTGTTTGGTTTTTTGTCCTTGCGATAGTTTGCTGAGAATAATGGTTTCCAGATTCATCCATGTCCCTACAAAGGACATGAACTCATCCTTTTTTATGGCTGCATAGTATTCCATGGTGTATATGTGCCACATTTTCTTAATCCAGTCTATCATTGTTGGACATTTGAGTTGGTTCCAAGTCTTTGCTATTGTGAATAGTGCTGCAATAAACATACGTGTGCATGTGTCTTTATAGCAGCATGATTTATAATCCTTTGGGTATATACCCAGTAATGGGATTGCTGGGTCAAATGGTATTTCTAGTTCTAGATCCTTAAGGAATCGCCACACTATCTTCCACAATGGCTGAACTAGTTTATAGTTCCACCAACAGTGTAAAAGTGCTCCTATTTCTCCACATCCTCTCTAGCACCTGTTGATTCCTGACTTTTTAATGATCGCCATTCTAACTGGTGTGAGATGGTATCTCATTGTGGTTTTGATTTGTATTTCTCTGATGGCCAGTGATGATGAGCATTTTTTCATGTGTCTGTTGGCTGCATAAATGTCTTCATTTGAGAAGTGTCTGTGCATCTCCTTCGCCCACTTTTTGATGGGATTGTTTGTTTTTTTCTTGTAAATTTGTTTGAGTTCTTTGTAGATTCTGGATATTAGCCCTTTGTCAGAAGAGTAGATTGCAAAAATTTTCTACCATTCTGTAGGTTGCCTGTTCACTCTGATGGTAGTTCCTTTTGCTGTGCATAAGCTCTTTAGTTTAATTAGATCCCATTTGTCAATTTTGGCTTTTGTTGCCATTGCTTTTGGTGTTTTAGTCATGAAGTCCTTGCCCATGCCTATGTCCTGAATGGTATTGCCTAGGTTTTCTTCTAGGGTTTTTATGGTTTTAGGTCTAACGTTTAAGTCTTTAATCCATCTTGAATTAATGTTTGTATAAGGTGTAAGGAAGGGATCCAGTTTCAGCTTTCTACATATGGCTAGCCAGTTTTCCCAGCACTATTTATTAAATAGGGAATCCTTTCCCCATTGCTTGTTTTTGTCAGGTTTGTCAAAGATCAGATGGCTGTAGATGTGTGGTATTATTTCTGAGGGCTCTGGTCTGTTCCATTGGTCTATATCTCTGTTTTGGTACCAGTACCATGCTGTTTTGGTTACTATACCTTGTAGTATAGTTTGAAGTCAGGTAGTGTGGTGCCTCCAGCTTTGTTCTTTTGGCTTAGGATTGTCTTGGCAATGCAGGCCCTTTTTTGGTTCCATATGAACTTTAAAGTAGTTTTTTCCAATTCTGTGAAGAAAGTCATTGGTAGCTTGATGGGGATGGCATTGAATCTATAAATTACCTTGGGCAGTATGGCCATTTTCATGATATTGATTCTTCCTACCCATGAGCATGGAATGTTCTTCCATTTGTTTGTGTCCTCTTTTATTTCATTGAGCAGTGGTTTGTAGTTCTCCTTGAAGAGGTCCTTCACATCCCTTGTAAAGTTGGATTCCTAGGTATTTTATTCTCTTCAAAGCAATTGTGAATGGGAGTTCACTCATGATTTGGCTCTCTGTTTGTCTGTTATTGGTGTATAAGAATGCTTGTGATTTTTGCACATTGATTTTGTATCCTGAGACTTTGCTGAAGTTGCTTATCAGCTTAATGAGATTTGGGGCTGAGACGTTGGGGTTTTCTAAATATACAATCATGTCATCGGCAAACAGGGACAATTTGACTTCCTCTTTTCCTAATTGAATACCCTTTATTTCTTTCTCCTGCCTGATTGCCCTGGCCAGAACTTCAAACACTATGTTGAATAGGAGTGGTGAGAGAGGGCATCCCTGTGTTGTGCCAGTTTTCAAAGGGAATGCTTCTAGTTTTTGCCCATTCAGTATGATATTGGCTGTGGGTTTGTCATAGATAGCTCTTATTATTTTGAGATACGTCCCATCAATACCTAATTTATTGAGAGTTTTTAGCATGAAGGGCTGTTGAATTTTGTCAAAGGCCTTTTCTGCATCTATTGAGATAATCATGTGGTTTTTGTCACTGGTTCTGTTTATATGCTGGATTACGTTTATTGATTTATGTATGTTCAACCAGCCTTGCATCCCAGGGATGAAGCCCACTTGATCATGGTGGATAAGCTTTTTGATGTGCTGCTGGATTCAGCTTGCCAGTATTTTATTGAGGATTTTTGCGTCAATGTTCATCAGGGATGTTGGTCCAAAATTCTCTTTTTTGTGTGTGTCTCTGTCAGGCTTTGGTATCAGGATGATGCTGGCCTCATAAAATGAGTTAGGGAGGATTCCCTCTTTTTCTATTGATTGGAGAAGTTTCAGAAGGAATAGTACCAGCTCCTCCTTGTACCTCTGTAAGAATTCAACTGTGACTCCATCTTGGTTGGTAGGCTATTAATTAGTGCCTCAATTTCAGAGCCTGTTATTGGTGTATTGAGGGATTCAACTTCTTCCTGGTTTAGTCTTGGGTGAGTGTATGTGTCCAGGAATTTATCCATTTCTTCTAGATTTTCTAGTTTATTTGCATAGAGGTGTTTATAGTATTCTCTGGTGGTAGTTTGTATTTCTGTGGGATTGGTGGTGATATCCCATTTATCATTTTTTATTGCATCTATTTGATTCTTCTCTCTTTTCTTCTTTATTAGTCTTGCTAGCGGTCTATCAGTTTTGTTGATCTTTTCAAAAAACCAGCTCCTGGATTCATTGATTTTTTGAAGGGTTTTTTGTGTCTCTATTTCCTTCAGTTCTGCTCTGATCTTAGTTATTTCTTGCCTTCTGCTAGCTTTTGAATGTGTTTGCTCTTGCTTCTCTCGTCCTTTTAATTGTGATGTTAGGGTATCAATTTTAGATCTTTCCTGCTTTCTCTTGTGGGCATTTAGTGCTATAAATTTCCCTCTACACACTGCTTTAAATGTGTCCCAGAGATTCTGATATGTTGTGTCTTTGGTCTCATTGGATTCAAAGAACATCTTTATTTCTGCCTTCATTTCGTTATGTACCCAGTAGTCATTCAGGAGCAGCTTGTTCAGTTTCCATGTAGTTGAGCAGTTTTGAGTGAGTTTCTTAATCCTGAGTTCTAGTTTGATTGCACTGTGGTCTGAGAGACAGTTTGTTATAATTTCTGTTCTTTTACATTTGCTGAGGAGCACTTTACTTCCAACTATGTGGTCAGTTTTGGAATAAGTGTGATGTGGTGCTGAGAAGAATGCATATTCTGTTGATTTGGGGTGGAGAGTTCTGTAGATGTCTATTAGGTCTGCTTGGTGCAGAGTTGAGTTCAATTCCTGGGTATCCTTGTTAACTTTCTGTCTCACTGATCTGTCTAATGTTGACTGTGGGGTGTTAAAGTCTACCATTATTATTGTGTGGGAGTCTAAGTCTCTTTGTATGTCTCTAAGGACCTGCTTCATGAATCTGGGGGCTCCTGTATTGGGTGCATGTATATTTAGGATAGTTAGCTCTTCTTGTTGAATTGAGCCCTTTACCATTATGTAATGGCCTCCTTTGTCTCTTTTGATCTTTGTTGGTTTAAAGTCTGTTTTATCAGAGACTAGGATTGCAACCCCTGCCTTTTTTTGTTTTCCATTTCCTTAGTAGATCTTCCTCCATCCCTTTATTTTGAGCCTGTATGTGTCTCTGCACGTGAGATGGGTCTCCTGAATACAGCACACTGATGGGTCTTGACTCTATCCAATTTGCCAGTCTGTGTCTTTTAATTGGAGCATTTAGCCCATTTACATTTAAGGTTAATATTGTTATGTGTGAATTTGATCCTATCAGTATGATGTTAGCTGGTTATTTTGCTTGTTAGTTGATGCAGTTTCTTCCTAGCATCAATGGTCTTTACAATTTGGCATGTTTTTGCAGTGGCTGGTACTGGTTGTTCCTTTCCATGTTTAGTGCTTCCTTCAGGAGCTCTTGTAGGGCAGGCCTGGTGGTGACAAAATCTCTCAGCATTTGTTTGTCTGTAAATGATTTTATTTCTCCTTCACTTATGAAGCTTAGTTTGGCTGGATACGAAATTCTGGGTTGAAAATTCTTTCCTTTAAGAATGTTGAATATTGGCCCCCACTCTCTTCTTGCTTGTAGAGTTTTTGCCAAGAGATCTGCTGTTAGTCTGATGGGCTTCCCTTTGTGGGTAACCCAACCTTTCCCTCTGGCTGCCCTTAACATTTTTTCCTTCATTTCAACTTTGGTGAATCTGACAATTATGTGTCTTGGAGTTGCTTTTCTCGAAGAGTATCTTTGTGGTGTTCTCTGTATTTCCTGAATTTGAATGTTGGCCTGCCTTGCTAGATTGGGGAAGTTCTCCTGGATAATATCCTGCAGAGTGTTTTCCAACTTGGTTCCATTCATCCCATCACTTTCAGGTACACCAATCAGATGTAGATTTGGTCTTTTCACATAGTCCCATATTTCTTGGAGGCTTTGTTCGTTTCTTTGTATCCTTTTTTCTCTAAACTTCTCTTCTTGCTTCGTTTCACTCATTTGATCTTCAATCACTGATACCCTTTCTTCCAGTTGATCAAATCGGCTACTGAAGCTTGTGCATTCGTCACGTAGTTCTCGTGCCATATTTTTCAGCTCCATCAGGTCATTTAAGGACTTCTCTACATTGGTTATTCTAGTTAGCCATTCGTCTAATCTTTTTTCAAGGTTTTTATGTTCTTTGCGATGGGTTCAAACTTCCTCCTTTAGCTCAGAGAAGTTTGATCTTCTGAAGCCTTCTTCTCTCAACTCGTCAAAGTCATTCTCCATCCAGCTTTGTTCCATTGCTGGCGAGGAGCTGCATTCCTTTGGAGGGAGAGAAGCACTCTGATTTTTAGAATTTTCAGCTTTTCTGCTCTGTTTTTTCCCCGTCTTTGTGGTTTTTATCTACCTTTGGTCTTTTGGTGACTTACAGATGGGGTTTTGGTGTGGATGTCCTTTCTGTTTGTTAGTTTTCCTTCTAACAGTCAGGACCCTCAGCTGCAGGTCTGTTGGAGTTTGCTGGAGGTCCACTCCAGACCCTGTTTGCCTGGGTATCAGCAGCGGAGGCTGCAGAACAGCGAATGTTGCTGAACAGCAAATGTTGCTGCCTGATCATTCCTCTGGAAGCTTTGTCTCTGAGGGGTACCCAGCTGTGTGAGGTGTCACTCTGCCCCTACTGGAGGGTGCCTCCCAGTTGGGCTACTCTGGGGTCAGGGACCCACTTGAGGGGGCAGTCTGTCTTTTCTCAGATCTCAAACTCCGTGCTGGGAGAGCCACTACTCACTTCAAAGCTGTCAGACAGGGACATTTAAGTCTGCAGAGGTTTCTGCTGCCTTTTGTTTGGCTATGCCCTGCCCTCAGAGGTGCAGTCTATAGAGGCAGGCAGGCCTCCTTGAGCTGTGGTGGGCCTCACCCAGTTCCAGCTTCCTGGCCGCTTTGTTTACCTACTCAAGCCTCAGCAATGGCGGGCGCCCCTCCCCCAGCCTCACTGTGGCCTTGCAGTTCAATCTCAGACTGCTGTGCCAGCAATGAGTGAGGCTCCATGGGCATAGGACCCTCTGAGCCAGGTGTGGGATATAATCTCCTGGTGTGCAGTTTGCTAAGACCATTGGAAAAGCACAATATTAGGGTGGGAGTGACCTGATTTTCCAGGTGCCATCCATCGCCACTTCCCTTGGCTAGGAAAGGGAATTCCCTGACCCCTTGTGCTTTGACCTGACCGAGCATGCTTTGGTTCATGCTCAGTGGGCTGCACCGACTGTCCTGCCCCCACTGTCTGACAAGCCCCAGTGAGATGAACCTGGTACCTCAGTTGGAAATGCAGAAATCACCCGTCTTCTGCGTCACTCACACTGGGAGCTGTAGACTGGAGCTGTTCCTATTCAGCCATCTTGGAACCCACCCGATTTTCTTACTTATTATTGGTCTGTTCAGGTTTTGGATTTCTTCCTGGTTCAATCTTGGTAGGTTGTATTTGTCTAGGAATTTGTCTCTGTCTTCTAGATTTTCCAATTTATTGCCATTTGGTTATTCATAGTAAGTCATTAATGATCTTTTGAATTTTTGCAATATCAGTTGTAATGTCTCCTTTTTTGTTTCTGATTTTATTTGTATCTTCTCTGCTTTCTTCTTAGGTAATCTGGTTAAAGGTTTGTCAATTTGGTTTAACTTTTCTTTTTTTTTTTTCCTGAGACTAAGTCTCGATCTCGGCTCACTGCAACTTCCGCTTCCTGGGTTCAAACGATTCTCCTGCCTCAGCCTCCTGAGTAGCTGGGATTACAGGCACCTGACACCATGCCCAGCTAGTTTTTTTTGTATTTTTAGTAGAGACAGGGTTTCACCATGTTGGCCAGGCTGGTCTCAAACTCCTGACCTCAGGTGATCCACCCGCCTCGGTCTCTCAAAGTACTGGGATTACAGGCATGAGCCACCGTGCCCAGCCTGGTTTAACTTTTCAAAACAACAATATTTTGTTTCATTGATCTTTTGGGTTTATTGCAATTTTATTTCTTTCTGCTCTGATCTTTATTATTTCTTTTCTTCTACTAATTTTAGGTTTGGTTTGCTCTTGCTCTTCTAGTTCTTTTTTTATTTTCTTAGCCTCCCTCACCCCCTGCCACCTTCTGGTTCTTTAAGATGCATTGCCAGATTGTTTATTTGAAGTTTTCCCAAAGTGCTGGGTGGCTCACACATGTAATCCTAGCACTTTGGGAGGCCGAGGTGGGCAGGTCACTTGAGCTCAGGAGTTTGAGACCAGCCTTGGAAACATGGCAAAGCCCTATCTCTACAAAAAATTAGCCAGGTGTGATGGCACACACCTGTAGTCCCAGCTCCTTGAGGGGCCTGAAGTGGGAGGATCACCTGAGCCTGGAAGGTCTCAGCTGCAGTGAGCTGTGATTGTGCCATTGCACTCCAGCCTGGGTGACAGGTGACAGAGTGAGACTCTGTCTCAAAAAAAAAAAAGAAAAGAAAAGAAAGAAAGAAAGAAAAGAAGAAAAGAAAGGAAAAAAAGAGAGAGAAAGAAAGAAAAGAAGAAAAGAAAGGAAAGAAAGAAAGAAAGAAAGAAAGAGAAAGAAAGAAAGAAAGAGAAAGAAAGAAAGAAAGAAAGAAAGAAAGAAAGAAAGAAAGAGAAAGTCTTCCTCTTTTTTGATGTAGGCACTTGTAGCTATAAATTCCCTCTTAGTACTGCTTTTGCTGTATCCTATGTTTTGGTATGTGTGTTTCCATAATCATTTGTTTCAAGAAGCTTTTCAATTTCCTTCTAAATTTCTTCATTGACCCACTGGTCATTCAGGAGGATATTGTTTAATTTCCATATATTTGCATAGTTTCCAAGATTCCTCATGTTATTAATTTCTAGTTTTATTCCATTGTGGTCAGAGAAGATGCTTAAATTTTTTTGAATGTTTTAAGACTTGTTTCATAACCTAACATATGGTCTATCCTTGAGAATAATCATGTGTTGAGGAAAAGTATGTGTATTCTGCAGCTGTTGGATGAAATGTTCTGTAAATATCTATTAGATCCATTTGGTCTACAGTGTAGATTAAGTCTGATGTTTCTTTGTTGATTTTCTGTCTGGAAGATCTGTCCAATGCTGAAAGTGGGGTCCTGAAGTCTCCAGCTATTATCATATCAAGGCCTATCTCTCTCTTTAGCTCCAATAATATTTGCTTTATATATGTGGGTGATCCAGTGTTGGGTGCATATATATTTAAAATTGTTATATTCTCTTGCTGAATTGACCCCTTTATCATTATATAGAGACTTTCTTTGCCTCTTCTTATAGTTTTGGTCTTGAAATTTATTTGTTTGATGTAAGTATACCAACTCCTGCTCTTTTTTGGTTTCCATTGGCATGGAATATCTTTTTCCATCCCTTTATTTTCAGTTTATGTGGGTCTTTATAGGTGAAGTGTGTTTCTTATAGAAATAAATCAATGGGTCTTGTTTATTCATCTATTCTGCCACTCTACGCCTTTGACTTGAGAGTTTAGTCCATTTACATTTAATATTATTATTGATAAGTAAGGACTTACTCCTGCCATTTTGTTATTTGTTTTCTGGTTGTTTTGTGTTTTTTTCTTCCTTCTTTTTTATTTTTCTCTTTTTAAGGCTAGTCAATATTTCTTTTTTCCTTCTTGTCTTCCTTTAGTTATGATGATTTTCTTTGGTGATATGATTTAGTTTCTTGCTTTTTATTTTTTGTGTCTCTATTGTATGTTTTTTGGTTTGAGGTTACCATGAGGCTTGCTGATACTATCTTATGATCCATCATTTTAACCTGATAACAAGTTAACACCGTTTGCATAAAGAAACAATCAAAAAGAAAGTGAATAAAAACTCTATGCCTTAACTTCATCCCCTTGCTTTTTAACTTTTTATTGTCTCTATTTTTATCTTATTTTACCAACTATGTCTTGAAAAGTTGTTGCAGTTATTTTTGATTGGCTCATCTTTTTTTTTTTTTTTTTTTTGAGAATGGGTCTCACTCTGTTGCCCAGGCTGGAGTGCAGTGGTGCAATCTCTGCTCACTGCAGCCTCCACCTCCCATGTTCAAGTGATTCTCCTGCCTCATCTTTCTGAGTAGCAGGAATTACAGGTGCCCGGCACCACGCCCAACTAACTTTTGTATTTTTTATAGAGATGGGGTTTTGCCATGTTGGCCAGGCTGGTCTTGAACTCCCGACCTCAAGTGATCCACCCACCTCAGCCTTCCAAAGTGCTGGGATTACAGGTGTGAGCCACCGACTGCACCCAGCCTGGTTCATCATTTAGTCTTTCTACTTAGGATGAGTAGTTTACACACCACAGTTACAGCATAATAATATTCTGTGTACTATTAACAGTGAGTTTTGTACCTTTGGGTGATCACTTATTGCTCATTAATGTCCTGAATGAAGTACTCCCTTTAGCATTTGTTGTAGAACAGGTGTGGTGTTGATGAAATCCCTCAGCTTTTGTTTGTCTGGGAAAGTCTTTATTTCTCCTTCATGCTTGAAGAATGTTTTTGCTGAATATACTATTCTAGGGTAAAAGATTTTTTCCTTCATCACTTCAAATATGTCATGACATTCTTTCCTGGCCACTGAAAAATCTGCTGCTAAATGTATTGGCACTCCAATGTATATTATCTGTTTCTTTTCTCTTGATGCTTTTAGGGTCCTTTCTTTATCTTTGACCTTTGGGAGTTTGATTATTAAATGCCTTGAGATGGCATTCTTTGGGTTAAATCTGCTTGATGTTCTATAACCTTCTTGTACTTGGATACTGATATCTTTCTCTAGGTTTGGGGAGTTCTCTGTTATTATCCCTTTTGAATAAACTTTCTACCCCTATCTCTTCTCTACTTCCTCTTTAAGGCCAATAACACTTAGATTTGCCCTTTTTAAGCTATTTGCTAGATCCTGTAGGTGCGTTTTTATTTTTTCTTTTGTCTCTTCTGTGTATTTTCAAATAAACTGTCTTCCAGCTCACTAATTCTTTCTTCTGCTTGATCAATGCTGCTAAAGGGCTCTGATGAATTTTTCAGTATGCCAACTGCATTTTTTTTTTCAGCCAGAGTTTCGCCGTTGTTACCCAGGCAGGAGTGCAATGGCGTGACCTTGGCTCACTGCAACCTCCGTCTCCCGGGTTCAAGCTATTCTCCTGCCTCAGCCTCCCAAGTAGCTGGGATTACAGGTGCCTGCCACCACATCCAGCTAATTTTTGTTTTTTAGTAGAGACGGGGTTTCACCATCTTGGCCAGGCTGGTCTCGAACTCCTGACCTCAGGTGATCTGCCCACCTTGGCCTCCCAAAGTGCTGGGATCACAGGCGTGAGCCATCTTGCTTGGCTGCCAACTGCATTTTTCAGCTCAAGAATTTCTGCTTGATTTTAAAAAATTATTTTAGTCTCTTTTTAAAATTTATCTGATAGAATTCTGAATTCCTTCTGTTATCTTAAATTTCTTAGAGTTTCCTCAACACAGCTATTTTAAATTATCCATCTGAAAGGTCACATATCTCTTTCTCCAGGATTGGTACCTGGTACCTTATTTAGTTCATTTGGTGAGGTCATGTTTTCCTAGATGGTGATAATGCTAGTAGATGTTCTTCAGTGTCTGGGCATTGAAGAATTATTTACTGTAGTCTTCACTGCCTGGGCTTATTTGTATCTATCCTTCTTGGGAAGGCGTTCCAGATATTTGAAAGGACCTAGGTGTTGTGATCTAAGCTGTATCTGCTTTAGGGAGCACCCCAAGGCCAGTAATGCTGTGGTTCTTGAAGACTCATGATGGTCTTGGACAAGATCTGGGAGACTTCTCTGGATTACCAGGAGAGACTCTTGTTCTCTTCCTTTACTTTATCCCAGAGTATTTCTCTTTGTTCTGAGCCACCTAAAGCTGGGCATGGAGTGACACAAGCATCCCTGTGGCCACCAACACCATGACTGCACCACCACTATGACTGCTGACCTGAAGCCAGCACAGCACTTGGTCTTGCCCAAGGTCAGCTGTAACCACTCCCTGGCTAGTGCCTATGTTCTCTCAAGGCCCTGGGGCTGTACAATCAGCAGGTGGCAAAGCCAGCCAGGCCTGTCTCCTTTCCTTTGGGGCAGCAAGGTCCTGCAGGCCCTGGATGAGTCCAGAGGTGCCAACCAAGAGTCAGGGACTAGAGTCGAAAATCTTAGAAGTCTACCTGGCGTTATATTGTACTGTGGCTGAGCTGGCACTCAAATCACAAGACAGAGTCCTTCCCACTCTTCCCTCCTCTCCAAAGGCAAAGGAGCATCACCCTGTAGCCACCACCACCCTGGGTCATGAAGCGTACTGCTGGACTATGTCTGATGTTCTCTTAAAGACCAAAGGCTCTTAAGTCAGCTTGTGGTGAATGCGGCCTGGCCTGGGACTCACCCTTTATGGCAGTGGGCTCCCCTCTGGCCCACGGCATGTCCAGAAATACCATCCAAGAGTCAAGTCCTAGAATTAGGGTTTCCATGAGTCCACTTGATGCTCTATCCCCTGTGGCCATGCTGGTTCCTAGGGTGCAAAACAAAGACCCTTTTATTTTTCCCTCTGCTTTTCTCAAGCAGAAGGAGTTTTGCCTCATAGCCATCACAGCTGGTAATATGCTGAGTCTCCCCTGAAGCCAGCAAGTCTCAGAGGCTCACCAAGGCCCTCAGTGCAGTACCTGGGTATCGCTGCTGGTTATTCAGGGGCCAAGGGCTCTTCATTAGAAAATGATGAATGCTGCAAGGACTGGGTTATTTCCTTCAAGGCAGCAGATTTCCTTTTGGACCAAGGTGTGTCTAGAAATGATGCCTAGGAGCTAGGGCCTGCATCAGGGGCCTCATGACTCTGACCGGTGCCCTATCCTGCTGTGGCTGAGCTGGTATATCCAAGATGCAAGACAAAGTCCTGCCCACTCTTCCCTCTCCTCTTCTCAAGCAGAAGGACGGGGTTCCTTGTGGAGTGTGAGTTGTGCAGCGTGGGACTAGGGGATGGATAATGCCAGCCCTCCCTTAGCTGCCCTAGCTGGTGTCTCAGTAGGTTGCATGGCCCCCCAGTCCACTGTCTCTGGGCCCAGTTCGGCACTAGGACACGCCTAAGAGTTGCAGTCCTTATGGCTTACACTGTCTTTCAAGTTTACTTGGAGACGCAGAGCACTGTAGCCCTCAGTGGTGAGGTTTGCAGGAACTCAAGTTCCAACCACTGTGATCTGTGATTCCCCTTTGGCTAGGGCTGGTTTAAATGTTCCCTCCATGGGCAGGTGTCACTGAGTCTGGTCCAGTTTTCCTTTCTGCTCTACCAGGACAGCACTGAGTTCACAGCCTCACAATTGCTGTGTTCTCCTTCCCCCAGTGACCAGAGCAGCTCTCCGCACCATGCCACTGCTGCCAGGGGTGGGGAAGGGGTGGTGTTGGCAATTTGGGACTGTTTTTTCTATCTTTTCAGTGCCTCTTTCAGCGATATGGAGTTAAAACCAGGTACTATGAGTGTTCACCTGATTTTTGGTTCTTATGACGGTGTTCTTTTCTGTGTAGACAGTTGTAAAATTGGGCTCCTTGTGGTGGAGATGATTGGTGAAGCCTTCTATTCTGCCATCTTGCTCTGCCTCTCAAGAAAAATACTCTTGGTGAGGCAGTAAAAAGTAATAATTTTATTAAATCTCAAACCTTGAGTATACATCTTTGTAATATTCTGTGTGACAAAATGGGAAGTGTGTGTAAAGTACATCTGCATGCCAAAGTACAGTGGTTTCTCAAGGAAAACTACTCAAACTGATTGAGTTGCAAGCTGAAATAGCTGTTTTTCTCAGAGACCACCATTTTTATTTGAAAGAAAAACTGACAGAGAAATATGGTTATCCAGATGAGTATTTGGCAGAGATTTTCTCTAAAATGAATGAAATGAGCTTATCATTTCAAGAAAAACATCTGACTGTATTTGTTGCCAATGATAAAACTCAAGGAAAAAATAATTTTGGAAAACACATCCGTAACTCTCATTTCCTTCTTCTTACATCATGAGTTTGACATTTTTCCAATACTTAATGACTTTTCTGAAAATACTGGTAGTGATACTGGTATACAATTTTTATGGTGTATAATTAAATGAGTTAATTTTTGGAAGATCTGTATAACTCAGCAGACCAGTATTTTTCAGATTGTCCAATGCATGATGTTACAAAATCATGCATGGGTAAAAGAGCCAATTATAGTGCAAGATAGTCCAGTGAATTTTAATGTAACAAAGTATGAAAATCATTGATATAATTTCAGATTCCACCTAACTTCTTTTTGCAACTAACTTCTTTTTCTACCTCTGAATTGCGGGCAATTTAAAAAAAATTGTAAAATATACCTAACTTAAAATCTACCATTTTAATTATTTTAAGTGTACAGTACAGTGGCATTAAGTATATTCATATTGGTGATTAAACCATCACCACTGTCCATTTCCAAAGCTTTTTCATCATTCCAAAGAGAAACTCTACCTATTAAACAACGTCCCATTACCCTCCCCTGAGTCCCTGGTAACTTGTATTATACTTTCCTTCTATATGCATTCTAGGTACCTTATATAGATGGAATACTACATTTGTCCTTTGTGTCTGGATTATTTCACTTAGCATAATGTTTTCAAGATTCATCCATATTGTAGCATGTATCAGAATTTCATTCCTTTTTATGACTGAATAATTTTCCATTGTATGCGTATACCACATTTTGTTTATCCATTCATCTGTGGATATTTGAATAGTTTTCACCTTTGGCTATTGTGAATAATGCTGGTATGAACACTGATGTGCAGGTATCTGAGTCTGTTTTCAATTATTCTGGGTATATACCTAGCAGTGAACTTGCTAAATCATATGGAAGTTCTATGTTTTTTGTTTTGTTTTGTTTTGAGACAGAGTCTTACTCTGTCACCCACGCTAGAGTGCAGGGGCGCAATCTCAGCTCACTGCAACCTCCACTTCCTGGGTTCAAGCAATTCTCTTGCCTCAGCCTTCCGAATAGCTGGTATTACAAGCGTGTGCCACCATGCCCAGCTAATTTTTGTATTTTTAGTAGAGACGAGGTTTCATCATGTTGCCAGGCTGGTGTCGAACTCCTGACCTCAGGTGATCCGCCCGCCTCGGCCTCCCAAAAATTGCTGGGATTACAGGCATGAGCCACCGTGCCCAGCCTAACTTTTTAAGGAACCATCATGTTTTCCACGGTGGTTGCACCATTTTATTATACATTCCTACCAAGAATGCAGCAGAATTTCAATTTCTCCACATCCTCAACATTTTTTTAAAAATTGTTTTGATAATAGTCATTCTAATGGCTGTGTACAAAGATATATCTCATCGTAGTTTTTTTAGTTTTCATGGTTTTTCATTTGCATTTTCTTAATTATTAGTGATGTGCATCTTTTCATGAGCTTATTGGTCAACTGTATGTCTTTTTTGTAAAAATGTCTATCGAAGTCTTTAGACAATTTTTAAATTTGGGTTTTTTGTTTTTGTTGTTGAATGTTAGGAGTTCTTTATGCTATATTCTGGATATTTATCCCTTTTGAGGATATGTGACTTACAAATATTTTCTCCTTATTCTGTGGGTTACATTTTTACCTGTTGATAGTGTTCTTTAATGCACAAAAGTTTAAATTTTGAAGTTCGATTTGTTTGTTTTTCACAATTGTAGCCTGTGCTTTTGGGGTCATATTCAAGAATTCATTGCCAAATCCAATGTCATGAAGATTTCCCCCTATGTTTTCTTCTAAGAATTGCATAGTCTAATCTCTTATGTTTAGGTCTTTGATCCATTAGTTAATTTTTGTGTATGGTGTTGTGTAAGGGTCTAACTTCATTCTTTTGCATGTGGATATCCAGTTTTCTCAGCACTATTTGTTGAAAAGACTGCCCTTTCCCCACTGAGTGATCTTGGCACCCTTGTTGAAAATTACTTGACCATATATGTGTTTGTTTCAGGACTCTCTATTCTATTCCATTGGGCTATATAGTATTTTACACCAGCACTATACTGTTTTGATTACTGTAGCTTTGTAATAAGTTTTGAAATCAAAAAGTGAGTCTTGCTAACTTTATTATTCTTTTCCAGGATTGTTTTGGCAATTTGCGGTCTCTTGATATTCCATGTGAATTTTAGCATGGATTTCCACATTTCTGCAAAAAAATGTCATTGGAATTTCAATAAAGATTGTATTGAATCTGTAGAGTACTTTGGGTAGTACTGACATCTTAACAGTATTAAGTCTTCCAATCCATGAACATGGGGTGGCTTTTCTTTTATGTGTGTCCTCTTTAATTTCTCGCAGCAATACTTACAGTTCTCAATCTACAAATCTTGTACCTTCTTGGTTAATTCCTAAGTATCTTATTCTTTTCAATGCTATTGTAAATGGAATTTTCTTAATTTCCTTTTCAGATTGTTCATTGTTATTGTATAGAAACACCAGTGATTTTTTGAGTGTTGATTTTGTATCCTGCCTTTTTGCTGACTTTGTGCTAACAATTTTGTGGAATCTTCATGGTTTTCTAAATATAAGATCATGTCATCTGTCAGCAGAGATAATTTTACTTTTCTTTCCAATTTGGACATTTTTCCAACTAACATTTAAGAAACTACAACCAGTTGAGTTTTGATGTAGTGCAAAGAAGACTATTCATGATAATCGTAAAAAGCCACTAAAATACAACCTTCCCTTTTCCAGCTACATAACTGATCTGTGTGAGGCTGGATTTTCTTTATGTACTTCAATTAAAACAACATGTTGCAATAGTTGAATGCAGAAGCCAATGTAAGAAGCCATATATATCAGTTTTCTATTACTGTGTACAAATTATCACTTTAGCAGCTTAAGACAACACTCACTTATTATATCAGTTTTCCATGGGTTGGGAGTCTAGGTTCAGACGAGCTCCTCAGGGTTTTTTCTCAGGGTCTCACAATGCTAAAATCAAGGAGTTGGCCAGGGCTGCAATCTCATCTAAGGCTCAGATCCTTATCCAAGCTCGCTGGTTGTAGGCAGAATTCAGTGTCTTGTAGCACTGAAGGCCTTATTTAATGGCTAGCTGTTGGCTAAGGACTGCTCTAAGCAACCAGAGGTCATCCACAAGTCCTTGCCACGTGGTCCTCTCACAACATGGCCACTTATTTCTTCAAAGCCAGCAGGGAAATCTCCCTCCAGTCAGCTATGATAGAGTCTTATATAACATAATATGATTATGGGAGTCACTGTATCATCCCTTTTGCCATATTCTTTTGGCTAGAAGCAAGGCACAGATTTTCCTGCACTCACAAAACTCACTGGTAACACCTTAGGGTGTTTGTACCACTCCAGACATTAGATTTGAAAAGTGTTAAAACAAAGCTACTGTTTGTTTTGTTGCTGTTGTTGTTTTTAAGACAGGGTCTCACTCTGTGTCCCAGGCTGGATGGAGTGCAGTGGTACGATCATGGTTCACTGCAGCCTCGATCTCCTAGGCTCAGGTGATCCTCCCATCTTAGCCTCCCAGGTAGCTGGGACTACAGGCACGTGCTACCATGACTGTCTAATTTTTAGTAGAGATGGGGTTTCACCACGTTGCCTAGGCTGGTCTCAAAACTAAAGCAATCTGCACACTTTGCCCTCCCAAAATGTTGAGATTACAGGTGTGAGCCACCACACCTGGCCTAATTATTATTTCATAAACATGTGTATTATTTATGCTAATATATGAGTTTCTAATTGTTATTTTTTTGAATGTTAGAAATTTCTTTATTATTATTCTTATTAAGTGCCAGCTTAATACTACAGAAAATTTCAAATAACCCTTGATAACCCACTTTCTTTGCTCCCACCCGAATTCTTGATCAAGAGTTTTTCAAGTAAAGACATGCTTTTCTGGTCTTCTCTCTTCTGTATAAAACTTTATGAAATAAAGGCAAAAGATTGTGTACATCTTGCTGGAAAATGCTGCTCAGGGCTCTGGAGATGGTGGCTGCCTGGGCTCCCTTCACTGTCCAGGTCCTGAAAGACTCTTGTTCATGAACTGTCTCTTCACAAAGCAAGTCCACCACGTGCTGGGTTGATCATTCTGAGGGTTGAAAACTTGCTCACAAAGTCTCAGTCCAGTCTCTTGCCTTAGCTGTTGTAAACAGGCTCTCATCACTTCATCTTCCTGTTTGCAGGTTTGGCATAAATTGCATTAAGTGGAAAACTAGGCTCTTCAGGAACAGGAAAATTATTGATTCCCTGTGTATACATTTCTTTCTCACCTTGGCTTCTGGAATTACACTTTTGGAGTTTCTTCAGACACTCAGAAATGTAGAGAGGTATATATATCAAGGTCCTGTCAGCTTCATTCTTAATTTCATAGTTTTTGAAGAAGACATTGGCCTTGAAGTAATAAATGGCTTCATCCACAATATCTCTATCTTTTGTCTCTCTAGGGGCAGGTCCTTTGAATTGACTTTTGATAGATAAGAATGCCATGTTTCCAATGAGTTTGTTGTCAGGATCCATGAGAGAAGAGTGGTAAGCCGGCATCTTGGTGGCACCCGGGTTTCCTCTAATTGTTACGTTAAACGAATTAGTAATGAATTATATTTCTTAATTTCAATTTTAATTTCTAAAACAGAAATTAAACCTTTTTTTGAGACAGAGTCTCTGTCACCCAGACTGTAGCGCAATGGTGCCATCATAGCTCATAATACAGTAGATGTTGATAGACACTATTCAGATAAACAGCAGCTCTTTGGGCTTCTTAATAAATTTTAAGAGTATAAAGTGTCGGCTGGGCGTGCTGGCTCATGCCTGTAATCCCAGCACTTTGGGAGGCTGAGGTGGGTGGATCACGAGGTCAGGAGATAGAGACCATCCTGGCTAACACGGTGAAACCCCACCTCTACTAAAATTACAAAAAATTAGCCGGGTGTGGTGGCGGGCGCCTGTAGTCCCAGCTACTCAGGAGGCTGACGCAGGAGAATGGTGTGAACCCAGGAGGCGGAGCTTGCAGTGAGCCAAGATCATGCCACTGCACTCCAGCCTGGGCGACAGAGCAAGGCTCCATCGCAAAAAAAACAAAACAAAACAAAACAAACAACAAAACAAAACAAACAAAAAAACAAAAAAAGAGTATAAAGTGTCAGAGGGTAGATGGAATGAGAACTATTAATATAATAACACCAAATAGTTGGAATTTTCCAAACATTTTTTGTGATCCATAGAAATGCATTTTACATTGTGACCTAGCACATACATATTACATGGATATATAACTGAGGCAAAGATTTCATGAAATAATGCTTTTTTTTTTTCTGAGATGGAGTTTCGCTCTTGTTGCACAGACTGGAGTGCAATGATGCGATTCCAGCTCACTGCAACCTCTGCCTCCCGGGTTCAAGCAATTCTCCTGCCTCAGCCCCCCAAATAGCTGGGATTACAGGTGTGCACCACCACGCCCAGCTAATTTTGTATTTTTAGTAGAGGCGGGGTTTCACCATGTTGGTCAGGCTGTTTTCAAACTCCTGACCTCAAGTGATCCACCTGCCTCAGCCTCCCAAAGTGCAGGGATTACAGGCATGAGCCACCACGCCCAGCCTGATTTCATGAAATAATACTTATTCTTATGTGAAGTGCACATTGATATTTTCTACTCTATTGCTTATCTTTTAAAATTTCTGGTCACAGTCTAAATCATTGATTTCATTAAAAACTAAATAGGTCAGGACCTAAAGTCTGAAAATACCGATTGATCATTGGAACCAGTTGAAAAGCATTAAAAAATACATATTTCCAGGGCCTCAGAAACTGAGATTCTGGTTTTAATGGGTTGGAGTGGGGAACTAAAATCTCTGTTTATTCTGTTTCCCAAATGCTTTGGTAACTTTGGAATCACTGCTGTAGTCTAGATTCTTGCTACTCAAAGGGTAGTTGTCAGACCACCATAAACGTTATCTGGTAGCCTGCTAGAAATGCAGAATCATGAGCCTCATTTTGAGATCTATTAAATAAGAATCTGCATTTAACAAGATCCCGTAGATCAGCGGTTCGCAACCATTTTGGCACCAAGGACTGGTTTCATGGAGGATATTTTTTCCATGGACTGGCAGGGGATGGTGATGGTTTTGGGATGATTCAAGTGCATTGTATTTATTGTGCACTTTTTTTTTTTTTTTTTTGAGGCAGTCTCGCTCTGTTGCCCAGGCTGGGGTGCAGTTGTGCAATCTTGGCTCACTGCAACCACTGCCTCCTGAGTTTGAGAGATTCTCATGCCTCAGCCTCCAGAGTAGCTGGGACTACAGGCATGTGCCACCACACCCAGCTGATTTTTGTATTTTTTAGTAAAGATGGGGTTTCGTCATGTTGGTCAAGGCAGGTCTCAAACTCCTGGTCTCAAATGATCCACCTGCCTCGGCCTCCCAAAGTACTGGGATTATAGGTGTGAGCCACCATGTCTGGCCAGTGCACTTTACTTCTATTATTATTACATTGTAATATATAATGAAATAATTAATTATACGACTCACCATAATGTAGAATCAGTGGAAGCGCTGATATTGTTTTCCTGCAACTAGGCAGTCCCATCTGGGGGTGATGGGAGTCAGTGACAGATCATCAGGCATTAGATTCTCATAAGGAGCATGTAACCTAGATCCCTCACATGAACAGTTTGCAATAGGATTCGCGCTTCTATGAGAATCTAATGCTGCTGATGATGTGACAAGAGGCAGAGCTCAGGCTGTAATGAGAGTGATGGGGAGTGGCTGTAAATGTAGATGAATCTTCACTCACTTGCCCGCTGGTCACCTCCTGCTGTGCAGCCAGGTTCCTAACAGGCCACAGACCAGTACCAATCTGTGCCCCAGGGAGTGGGAACCCCCACACTAGATGATTAATATTTACATTGAATTTTGAGAAGCACTAGCTGGGCGCAGTGGTTCACACTTTGGGCGGCCAAGGCAGGCAGATCACTTGAGGCCAGGAGTTCGAGACCAGTCTGGCCAGCATGGCAAAACCCTGTCTCTACTAAAAATACAAAAATTAGCCGGGTGTGGTGGCCTCCCAGCTACTTGGGAGGCTGAGGGAGAAGAATCACTTCAACCCAGGAGGTGCCTTTGAGGCCTGGAGTTCAAGACCAGCCTGGCCAACATGGTGAAACCCCATCTCTACTAAAAATACAAAAAATTTAGCTGGGCATAGTGGTGCGTGCCTGTAGTCCCAGCTAACCGGGTGGCTGAGGCAGGAGAATCGCTTGAACCCAGGAGGCGATGTTGTGGTGAGCTGAGATCACACCACTGCACTCCAGCCTGAGCAACAAAGCAAGACTCTGTCTCAAAATAAATAAAATAGAGATGATAATATCAATAAACCCTTATCAGTGACATACTTGAGAGGTAAAGAGTGCTTCACTATACTTTTTGTAAAATTCCACACAAAGCATTTTAAAATCTAATATATGGGATGTCTTTTTAAAATGGTCACTTCTATAATGTATTTATATTTATAGCACAATTTGTATGCAATAAAAATATAAAATCTACAAATTATGGAATATGCCAGTGTCTCAGTCCATTCCTGCTACTATAACAAAATATCTTAGAGTGGGTAATTTATAAACAACAGAAATTTATTTCTCACAGTTCTGGAGGTTGGAAAATCCAAGATCAGCGCCAGCAGGTTCAGCGTCACTCCCTGCTTCCAAAATGGTGCTTTCTTGGTGCATATTAACATGGTAGAAAGAGTGAAAAGGAACAAGCAGCTTCCTTGCACCTTTTGTAAGGTCATTAATCCCATTCATAAGAGCTCTGCCCTCATGACTTAATTACTTTCTAAAGACCCCACCTCTTAATTGTAGCATATTGGCAATTATGTTTCAATATATGAATTTTGGGGGGTACATTTAGACCACAGCAGCCAATTTCCTAGTCCATGACATATATGTGAACATCCTGGAATACAGAGGGGTTGGGAGTATAAGTAACTCTCCATCTATGTATTTCCACAATCCCAATCACATTTTACACTCATACAGACACTCCAAATACTCTTTCTCCTCTTTCTGTGTTGGTTTCTAGTTTTCTGGTTAGCAATTGCCAAAGCAGGAAAATAAGAAAGCCCACGACAACGGAACTGTCCAGAGTTTCGTTTCTTTATGCAAGAGTATTGTGTCCTGGCTGGGCGCAGTGGCTCACGCCTGTAATCCCAGCACTTTGGGAGGCAGAGGCAGGTGGATCACTTGAGGCCAGGAGTTCGAAGCCAGGAGTTCAAGACCAGCCTGGCCAACACGGTGAAACCCCATCTCTACTAAGAATACAAAAATTAGCCAGGCGTGTTGGCACGTGCCTGTAATCCCAGCTACTTTGGAGGCTGAGGCAGGAGAATAGCTTGAACCCTGGAAGTGGAGGTTGCAGTGAGCTGAGATCATGCCACTGCACTCCAGCCTGGGCGACAGAGTGAGACTCTGTCTCAAAAAAGAAAAAAAAGAATATTGTGTCCCATTAGTTGAAGAATACAGTAATTTAGTTTTGTAGTTTTATTTATTTATTTAGAGACAAGAGTCTCACTCTGTTGTTCAGGCTGGAATGCAGTGGCTCAATATCGGCTCACTGCAGCCTCCGCCTCCCGGGTTCCAGTGAATCTCCTGCCTCAGCCTCCCAGGTAGCTGGGATTACAAGCGCCTGCCACCACATCCGGCTAATTTTTGTATTTTTAGTAGAGATGGGGTTTCACCATGTTGGCCAGGCTGCTCTTGAACTCCTGACCTCAGTTGATCTGCTTGCCTTGGCCTCCCAAAGTGCTAGGATTACAGGCATGAGCCACCACACCTGGCCTTTATTATTTTTTTAGAGACAGGATCTGACTGTCATCCAGGCTGGAGTGCAATGGCATGATCATGGGTCACTCACTGCTGCCTCAAACTCCTGGGATCAAGTGATCCTACTGCCTCAGCCTCCCCAGTAGCTCGGACTACAGGTGTGTGCCACTATGCCCAGCTAATTTTTAAATTTTATTTTTGTAGAGACAGGGTTGCACTATGTTGCCCGGGCTTGTCATGAACTCCTGGCCTCAAGTGACCCTCCCACCTCAGCCTCCCAAAGAGCTAGGATTACAACCATGAGCCGCTTTACCTGGCTAGTCTTGTATTTTAATCAATGTCTCCATAGAATTTGTACCTATGCTAACAAGGAAATATTATCAATTTGAGTTTTATCTTTAACTAAAAACTAGGCATTTGGATCCAGGAACATCAGAAATTCAACCGTGATATTTCAGATCTCAGGGAGAGGTTTCTAACTTTATTTTTTAGAGGAAGAAACTAAAGCTTAGGGGGTAATACGACTTTTCCACGTGAAAGGATAGGGTTTTCTCCCTCCTTTATCCCCTCCTTTAGAAGAGGTCTTTGATGAGGCATAGAAAAGAGAGACTGTTAGCATAACAACCCACTGGAATTATCACAGCAGAAAGTCAGAATTATTAAAAGTGTGTTAGTTTTATAGATATTTCACCCAAACATGATGGAATTATCTATATTGATATTTCAGGAATGAAATCATTTTCATGACTTCTTACTTCATTTTAATCCCTGAATATAATTTAACCTCTTCATTATACAACAAGCTGGGTAATACTAGGTTTTGTGGGGCCTAAAGCTTATACAATTTGAAGGACCCACTAAGAAAAAAGAATACAAAGTCAGGTACTTTTTTTTTTTTTTTTTTGAGACGGAGTCTCGTTCTGTCGCCCAGGCTGGAGTGCAGTGGCGCAATCTTGGCTCACTGCAAGCTCTGCCTCTTGGGTTCACGCCATTCTCCTGCCTCAGCCTCCCAAGTAGCTGGGACTACAGGCAGCCGCCACAACGCCCGGCTAATTTTTTTGTATTTTTAGTAGAGACGGGGTTTCACTGTGTTAGCCAGGATGGTCTCCATCTCCTGACCTCGTGATCCACCCGCCTCAGCCTCCCAAAGTGCTGGGATTACAGGCGTGAGCCACCGCGCCCAGCCAAAGTCAGGTACTTTTAAATGTGAATATTTATGTGCAATGGTAACAGAAATTACAAATTATAAATTTTACTTGACACAGCAGAAATATAACAAAATCCAGAAAAATAACATTCTATTTTTATTAACTGCTTGACATATCTATATATTATTTTTTCCAACTTTTTTGGATGCATACTCTTTGTCACTTCACTGTATGACTTTGTAATATCTTTTTTTATATATATATAAATTCAGTCCTTCCTCTGGCATAGTTGATAATTTTTTTTTAATTATAGGATACAAAATTCACAAGTATGTCTTTACACAGCTATGTAGGTACACTATTTGTATTACTGCTGCAGGGTTGTGCTAGGTATTGATGAGACCCAAATCCTCTGCTAACAATTTTTCCAATTTTTCGTATCTGATTATTTGACATTTTCTACAGATTACGTTCTACTAGGTACTTTTACTTTTTTTTTTTTTTTTTTGAGACAGGGTCTCACTCTGTCACCCAGGCTGCAGGGCAGTGGCATGATCTCGGCTCACTGCAACCTCCACCTCTCAGGTTCAAGCAATTCTCCTATCTCAGCTTCCCAAGTAGCCAGGACTACAGGCGCACACCACCATGCCTGGCTAATTTTTGTATTTTTAGTAGAGACAGGGTTTCACCATGTTGGCCAGGCTGGTCTTGAATTGCTGACCTCAAGTGATCTGCCTGCCTCTGCCTCCCAAAGTGCTGGGTTTACAGGCATGAGCCACTGCGCCCGGCCAGCTCTATACATTTCAAACCCTGTTTCTCCTCTAATACCCATTTAACTTCCAATGCCAGGCAACCTAGGACAGATTCACATTGTGGTAAGACCTCTGGCCCTGCACCTTGGTGTTACAAAAGCATATGACCATGTAAGCCCCATGCTAGGGACCCTCCCAGGGCCTTGGCAGGGGCCCTGAAGCTTAAGCTTCATCAGCTTCCTGGTATCAGGAAGCTCAGCTGATGAAGAAAATGGAGAGGAAAACAGCTTGGGAGGAACAAATTGGCATGAGAACGCAGGTCTCCTTACTGTGGTCCACAGTGTTTTCCACCAGAACATATTTTAAATCTTTTTAAAATTCTTCTCCATTAAATTACCTCTTGCTTTTGATTTTGTTTACATGATTCTTTCAGTAGATTTAACTTTTATCCCAGAAAGCATTATACCTCTCGAAAGTGAGAGTTTTATTCATAATTTGATCCATCAAAAGTACTATTCATATGGATAAATACAAGCTTGAAATTAAGAACAAATCCAGAGAAGTAATGCACTACTTCAAACTCCATTTAGTCAAACTACTTCTGTTATTCTGTCTTCCAGAGGTATGGTTACTGTTTTAATTAATCTACAAATAACAAAAAACGATTTGAAATAATGTCTAATATCTACATTTTATTATGCCCTTTTGAAGAGACCACGGTTTTCCCATAATTATGAATATTAGTTTTCCTGGAAAAAAGAAACAGTCCATTTATAAACTAAAATGCCTTTATTTCTTCAGTAAATAAGAAAATGAAAAACAAACAAAAATCCCTGTATCCTCTGCTGGTACATTTCAGAAATGTCACCATTTCAAACATAAGGAAATAATTTTCTTGATACATAAATACTAGAAGCCCAAGAAAATATGAAGGGGAAATTATCTATAGTCATATGCTAAATATCTCTGTAATCAAAGATAAAGATGCTTAATTTATCTGCAATCCTATTATAATTTACCTTGAGTTAATATCCTTGGGGAAAAGAATCCTTTAAGGAATTCTATTCAGTAAAACACTACATTAGGATAATATGAACAACATATTGTTTTATTTTTAAAAATAGTTTTAGAGATAGGGTCTTGCTCTGTCACCCTGGCTGGAGTACAGTGGTGTAATCATAGTTCACTGCAGCCTCAAATTCCTGGGCTCAAGCGATCCTCCTACCTCAGCTTCCCAAGTAGCCAGGACTACAGGTTGGCATCATCATGTCTGGCTAATTTTTCTATTTTTTTTTTTTTAGAGATGGGGGTCTCTTTATGCTGCCCAGGCTTGTCTCAAACTCCTGGGGGCTCAAGAGATCCTCCTGCTTTTGGCGTCCCAAAGTGCTGAGATTACAGGCGTGAGCTACTGAGCCTGGCCTACGAACAGCATATTAAATTCTAACATCGGCACAGAATGATACTCAAGATTATTTTTAAGTTGTCTGCCTCAGTGACAACGTAACAGTATCAAAATTTCCAATAAAAAAATCAATTAGGCACAGTGGCTCACACTTGTAATCTTCATTTTGGGAGGCCAAGGTGGGGCCATTGCTTGAAGCCAGGAGTACGAGACCAGCCGGGGCAACACAGAAAGACCATGTCTCTACAAAAAAATCTAAAAATTAGCTGGACATGGTGGTGTGCACCTGTGGTCCCAGCTACTTGGGAGGCTGAAGTGGGAGCATCATTTGAATCCAAGAGGTCTAGGCTGCAGTGAGCCATGATCATACTCTCACACTCCAGCCTAGGTAACACAGCCAAGACCCTGAATAAATAAATAAATGAATCAATGACTGAATGAATATAAAAAAAACAACCTAGCCCTCTCTTTCAACATTTACTTCTAACAGGAGTTTGTTTTAAAAGCAAATATCAAGTACACAGTTAGATGGGATACACATTCAATCATAAACCTAAGTGAGCAAAAATCCCAAGGATCTATAAAACTATCAAAGGCAACATAAAAGGCTTACCTGGCAAATTGCTGTTTCTGTTTGTTGTTTTTTGTAGACAGAGTCTTGCTCTGGCGCCCAGGCTGGAGTGCAGTGGTGTGATCTTCGCTCACCGCAGCCTCTGCCTCCCAAGCTCAAGCAATCCTCCCACCTCAGCCTCCCGAGTAGCTGGGACTACAGGCATGTGCCACCATGCCTGGCTAAATTTGTGTGTGTGTGTGTGTGTGTGTGTGTGTGTTTGTAGAGACAGAGTTTCACCGTGTGTGTGTGTGTGTGTTTGTAGAGACAGAGTTTCACCATTTCGGCCAGGCTGGCCTCAAACTCCTGAGCTAAAGCAATCCGCCTGCCTTGGCCTCCTAAAGTGCTGGGATTACAAGCCTCAGTCACCACGCGTGGTCTGCTTTCTTATTTTATAAAACACTGTGATAATTTTTTTCTTATATAATTTTTATTTTTTTCAACTTTCATTTTTAGACTTAGGGGATAGATGTGCAGGTTTGATTCCTGGGTATACTGCATGATGTGATCATTTTTAGACCTGAAAACTTTTTGTTGGAAACCCACAATCAGTGTACCTAATGCAAAGGAACATTACATCATGCTCTAAAAACAAATATTTGAGATTATGAAAACCTGTAATATTTGTTGAAAGAAGAAGACATAATTGCAAATGTAAACATAAGACGCGGGAAGAAAAACTAAGTAAGAAGTACATGGGCCAGGTACGGTGGCTCACACCTGTAATCCCAGCGCTTTGGGAGACTGAAGTGGGTAGATCACCTGAGGTTAGGAGTTCGAGACCAGCCTGGCCAACATGGTGAAACCCTGTCTTTACTAAAAATACAAAAATTAGCTGGGCGTGGTGGTGCACACCTGTAATCCCAGCTACTTGGGAGGCTGAGGCATGAGAATCGCTTGAACCCAGGAGACAGAGGTTGCAGTGAGCTGAGATGGCGCCACTGCACTCCAGCCTGTATGACAAGAGTGAAACTCCATCTCAAAAACAATAACAACAAAAAAGAAGTACACAGAGGCCAAGCACGGTAGTTCACGCCTGTAATCCCAGCACTTTGGGATGCCGTGGGGAACAGATAACCTGAGGTCAGGAGTTCGAGAGCAGCCTGGACAAAATAGCGAAACCATGTCTCTACTAGAAATACAAAATCAGCTGGGTGTGGTGGCATGGACCTGTAGTCCCAGATACTCAGGAGGCTGAGGCAGGAGAAGCACTTGAACCTGGGAGGCGGAGGTTGCCGTGAGGCGACACTGGCCCACTGCACTCCAGCCTGGGCGACCAGAGTGAAACTCTGTCTCAAAAAAAAAAAAAAAAAAAAAAAAAAACATGGAAAAGACTTTATCTTTTTCATGCCATCTGTAAGTCTTCTACCTTGCATAGAACTTTGGTAAAAGTATTTTATACGTAATTAATTAGGCATAATATTCAAGAAAGCAGACTTATTCTCCTCCTTCCCTACAACACACTTGAATATAAAAAAAAAGTAGGCTAGAATTGCCACAACTGGCTTGGACTTGAGGCTCTCAAGTTTTGCACGTGGGCCTTCAAAAACAAAATATAATTTCCAAACTCTTTATTATGTGGTTTACAGAGCATCTGAAGATTGGTTTCATGAGTCTGAACTTAGTGTGAAAGATGTTCAAATTCAAATCCCCAAGCCAGCGCATCAATGTTTTTGTAGGCTTCACAGTGCTGGGCTCCGCATCCTTCTTTGGCCGCCTTACACCAAAACGCTGAGCTTGGAAATCAAAAGGGTCAGCCCAGTTTCAGTCCCTCTGCAGACAATAAGTAGAACACATTAGAATAGATTTACTACCTATTTTATTATACATAATACTTACAGTAGAAAACAGAAATTTTGGACATCATTGTTTTTAGATGAGAACACGTTAAGCCTTGAAAAGTAAGTTAAATTAACACTGGAGCTTTACTTCAAACTCTAAACATATAGTCTTTAAAACGCTAATAATACTATTAATCATCAAGTTTTACCATTAAATAAATGTTTTAGATACAGTGGCTTTATTTCAGACTCCATTTCCTGTGGCCTAAAAAATGGGGAGAAAAATAAACTTCAACTATAACAATCTAAATTTCAAATGGTAAGAGGTTATTCTATGTGGAAAAAACACAAACAAGGATTTATAAAGACTGAGTGGAAATGAAAATAACTGACAGTAAATTTCTTGGATTTGCAAATTTTGAATACTTATTTTGAAGGTTGGAATGTTTAGCAACTTTTAACCTTAAATTATTTCAAATCAACCAAGTACTTAGTTTTGTGGAAATTTTGTGAGGGTGAGGCTCATTAGTGAGTTTTTAATTCACAAAAATAAAATCCAATTCCAATTACCAAGTAATATTTTAGAGTTATCTTAGATTGTACAACTGGCCACATATTTTAGGGAGGTACAACAGTTTATAATGGGATACAATACTTTGCACATATTAAATGTTAATTCCTATTGTATCTTTATCCTTTTTTCTCTTAAAAATTTTTTTCATTTTATTTATTCTCACTTTATTATAGTTTTCCTTTTTCCCAGAAATCACCACAACATTACAGTCTGGTATTTAGCATATAAGCATATTTGTTCTTCAGCATAGTTAACATTATCCAGTAGTATCTGATGCCATCCTGCTGTTAATTCTGCTGTTAATTCTGCTGCCTAGATTGCTAGACCCCAACCACAGCTTGGCAGAGAGTGAAGGGAGGTTTTGTTTTTGTACCCCTTTATTCTGGTCTAGTGCAAGAGGAAAGAAGAGCTCTCTGCCATTGCAGGTAGCCAGACTAATGCTAGGAAGGGAAAAAGCTTTAACTCTGAGTAAAGTTCAGAGTTATTCATTATTGCAGCTATCAAGGAGAACATTCAAAACTTGGAAATAAGGTTAAGCGATAGCTGCATGACCTTTTAATGTCATGTTAGGGCACTGTTTAAAAAGGCTGCCTAACAGTCATCTAATTCTCCAGGGAAAGTAATTTTGTTGCACACTGTATTCACTATGGCTTGGAGCTCACATATCTACATAACAAACAATTTTATAGCTAGAGGCTAACAAATAAAATGGATGAAGTGTGACAATTCTCTTTTCTGACCAGTAGAAAGGGTAATTTTAAAGATTATACTTTCATTGCCCTATAGAACTGACTAGTTTTGTATCTAATTTAGCAATCTTATCTCAGCATTCCTTTTTCCCCCATTCATTATAAAAAACAATAACCAAGTCTTTAATATTATCATTTCAACTAACTTTTTCATCCTACTGGTTCCCTCACTGAGTTAAATGAAACTTGGGCACATGCCCCCAATCTATTGTATTCTAATTTGAACCTATTTAACTCTCATCTTAGAATTATGTTTCTATGCAGTGGTTCATGCCTGTAATCCCTGCACTTTGGGAGGCAGAGGGCAGGTGGATCAGGAGGTCAGGAGTTCAAGACCAGCCTGGCCAAGATGGTGAAACCCCGTCTCTACTAAAAATACAAAAATTAGCTGGGCATTGTGGCAGGTGCCTGTAATCCCAGCTACTTGGGAGGCTGAGGCAGGAGAATCGCTTGAACTCAGGCAGCAGAGGTCACAGTGAGCCACTATCGTGCCATTGCATTCCAGCCTGGGTGACAGAACAAGACTCCGTCTCAAAAAAAAGAATAATGTTTCTAAGATTACAAGAATTTTACCTTGTATCACTGGGGCCAGAAATTGTGCTAAATGGCTATTACTAGCTGTAAGGGAGGCTGGGAATTTGAAGATTCACTTTTTAGTCTTTGTAAGCTAAAAAGAAAAACAAGAGCTTTCAAGAGACCAAACCTATAATAACTGTCACTAAAAATGCATGTGTGGTAGTAATGGCAGGGGAATGGTGAGAGAGAATAATCAAGAATGATCCCCAGATCAGGCTTGGGTTGTAAATCTACTAATATGAAGAATTCTGGAGAAGAAGCAGGTCAATACTAAGCACTGAGAAATTAAAAGCTTTATTATTATTATTATTATTATTATTATTATTATTATTATTATTAGATGACATCCACTGATTCAGCCCTGACATTATCCACAATTGTTATATGCTGGAGATTTTCTTTCTTTCTTTTTTTTTTCTGAGATGGAGTCTTGCTCTGTCACCTAGGCTGCCCAGGATGGCAGTGGTGCCATCTAGACTCACTGCAACCTCCACCTCCCAGGTTCAAGCGATTCTCACGCCTCAGCCTCCCGAGTAGCTGGAATTACAAGCATGCACCACCATACCCAGTAATTTCTGTATTTTTAGTAGAGACAGGGTTTCACCATGTTAGCCAGGCTGGTCTTGAACTCCTGACCTCAAGTGATCCACCCACCTCAGCCTCCTAAAGTGATGGGATTACAGGCGTGTGCCACTGGGCCCAGCCTGTGCTGGAGATTTTAAAGGAAGAAAAGTAATTTATAATTATCCAAATCCTTGTAATAGTTGGTCAGTTGGGTGGCAAATCCCAGCCTATCAATTATATAGTAGAGTGCCCCATCCTAATGAAACAGTTTATGACAGAATGCTTGCATTAGACATTGCTTGCATTAGACACTGGATTTGTGGCCTCCAAGAAAATTTTCCAAGCAAATGACTCTATTTACCTCCAATTTACTACAAAACAAACATTTGCAATGTAGGAATTACTTAGAAATTTTAGTTCAAGTGTGTACTAAACACAAATGAAATGTTTTTATAGAGTATAGAAGAACTGTAAAAACACAATGCAATGTTTATTTTGAGATACGGTTGTGCCTCAGTCGACATGGAAGTTTGGTTCCAGGACCTCCACATATACCAAAATTCACGCATACTCAAGTCTCACAGTTAGCCTTGTGGAACCAGCTGACAAAAAGTTGGCCCTCAGTATATGCAGGTTTTGCATCCCACAAATACTGTATTGTCAATCCACATTTGGTTGAAATAAATTTACATGTAAGTGGACTCCTGAAGTTCAAACCATGTTGTTGAAGTGTTAACTATACTTAACTTTATAAATACCATCAGCAACAACCATATTACCTTTTTCCTAGGAAAAATATCTGATGGTATTTATAAAGTTAAGTATATTTAAATCCTTTATCTGTCAAATATTAATTTTAGAATCTGATAAGGTTTAATTATTTATTAACCAGATTATTCCTCTTCTACAATTTGACTAGTTGATTATGTGGCAAATAAGGACACCAATCACACCAAGGTGGGTTGATATTATAACACTATAGGGTACCTATGACTTACAAGAGTCCTCTACTGAGTATGAAAACTTGTATCCTGCCAAGTCTGCCTGAAGTCCATCAATCTTTATTATACTTATTTTAAAGGAATCATCCATTTTGCAAAACTTTTAATTTCCAAAATTTGTATGCTTTAAATTTGGGAACTTTGTGCACAGTATTAAAAAACCATTTAGGATGATCCTTTAATAAGATTTATCCCATTAAAACAATGCATTTCTATAAAACTATGTCTTCCAGACTTTCTATATCCAGTTACTAGGTCATACAGATTTTACCTTTGCAATATTTCTTCTATCTGTTCTTTTCAATGCCCCAATCATTGTCTTTAGTCTGATCTATAAATTGGCTGTATTAATATTTATCTTCCTCACTAGGCTACAATAGCTTCCTGTAGGTTTTTTCCTTCCAAATCATTCTGATATTGAATTATATTCCTAGAACAAAGGTTAGAAAATGTCATTTCTGTTTTAAGATGTTCAAATGTTCCCAATGCCTACAGAGTAAAATCCAAACTAGTTCCAAACTACTACTTTGGTCTAATTTCTTACTACATGCCACTTCTCATCTTATGTTCCAGTTTCAACTGCAAATATCCTGATCCAAAATGAACTTTTGTTCCTCTTTACCTTTGCTAATGCTTTTCCCTCAGCCTGGAATGCTCTTTACCCTTTTTTCTGCCTAGTAAAATTTACTCATCCTTTAAGATTTGATTCAAATACCGCCATCTCCTTTGGGGAGGACTACATGATCTACCAATCTGAAACAGATTAATAATTGCTCTGGGCACCCATGGAATTGTACCCTTAGGGAAGTATTTATTTTCTATTAGCTTCTGCCTTCTTGGAGTCCATAGAAAAAAAAGCGTGAATAAATATAAAATAAGAAGCATAGTCACAAATACAGACATGAAGTGTTCAAGTTCAGATACCATATTAAGCAAGTTAAAGTAATTTTTTTTCTTTTTTGAGATGGAGTTTTGCTGTTGGTGCCCAGGCTGGAGTGCAATGGCACGATCTCGGCTCACTGCAACCTCCACCTCCTGGGTTCAAGCCATTCTCCTGCCTCAACCTCCCGAACAGCTGGGATTACAGGTGTCTGCCACCACGTTAGGATTACAGGTGTAAGCCAGCACACCAAGTCAAGTTAAAGCAATTTCTAAATGTATTTGTAAAGCACCTGATTTGTTAGGGCAGATAGTATCCTAAATATTCCATACAAGATGAAAACCAACTTTGTCATTTTGATCATATTTGAGAGTCACAGGACATTTTTACTTAAAAAAAATTTTTTTTTTGGCAAGTCGCAGTTGCTCATGCCTGTAATCCCAGCATTTTGGGAGGCCAAGGCAGGTGGATCACCTGAGGTCAGGAGTTTGAGATCAGCCTGACCAATGTGGTGAAACCCCATCTCTACTAAAAATGCAAAAATTAGCCAGGCATGGTGGCATGCACTTGTAGTCCCAGCTACTCGGGAGCCTGAGACAGGAGAATCACTTGAACCTGGGAGGCAGAGGTTGCAGTGAGCAGAGATCATGCCACTGCACTCCAGCCTATGCAACAGAGCAAGACTCCGTCTCAAAAAAAAAAAAATTTTTTTTGTTGTGAGACAGGGTCTCACTCTGAGTGCAGTGGTGTGATCACAGTTCACTGTAACTTCGAACTCCTGGGCCCAAACTATCCTCTCACTCCAGTCTCCTGAGTAGCTAGAACTATAGATGCATACCATCACACCTGGCTAATTTAAAAATTTTTTTATAGAGATGGAGTCTCAGTATGCTGTCCAGGCTGATCTGAACTCCTTGCCTCAAGCAGTGCTCCCGGCTTGGCCTCTCAAAGTGGTGGGATTACAGGCCACCATGCCTGGCCCATTTGTTATTTTCAATAAATGTTTTTTCTAAGGATATTGTAATTCTGTATTTTAATTATATCATGTGACTTCAAGAACACTATATGAAACTATGCTATGTTAATACATATTTTCAAAAATAAACTTTGAAAGAGACACCTGTTCACTGAATGTCATCTCAGGGTACAGAGATAAAATCCAATTGGCAATTTTTAATGCTTTGAAATATGTGGGATTGCTACTATTCTTGATATATTTAAGAGATGACAATATATATCTAAATTTTAAAGTATGCAGTTTATATAACCAACAAGAAAAATTATACGCATAATATTTTCCTTAACATGTCGTACACTGTGATTTGTAAACCAGGCTGGGTGTGATGGCTCATGCCTCTAATCCCAGCACTTTGGGAGGCCGAGGCAGGAGGATTTCTTGAGCCCAGTTCGAGACCAGCCTGAGCAACACGGCAAACCCCCACGTCTACAAAAAATAGCCAGATGTGATGGCACACACCTGTAGTCCCAGCTAATCAGGAGGCTGAGGTGGGAGAATTGCCTGAGCCCAGGGAGGTCGAGGCTGCAGTGAGCTGTGATCGTGTCACTGTACTTTAGCCTGGGCGACAGAGTGAGACCCTATCTCAAAAAAAAAAAAAAAAAAAAAGTAAACCGACTACCAAAAGTACTGCAAAATAAATTTCTTAAACATGAAACACATGATACCTTGGAAAGGTGACATATGTGGTTGTTTCCTCCTTTTTTTCCTTCTCTTTTTCTTGGTGTTTCATATTTTGTCCTTAAAACAAAAGAAAACATATTAATGATTGCTTCAATAAAAAAAGACACAGACCTTATTTTTTAGTAGTGATTATATTCATGGCCCAAAATTTAAATAGCAAAACATCTCCTTTCCACCTGTCAACCAGCCATCTAAATTTTCCCTTAAGACACTTACGGTTGTTATAACAAAATGCCACAGGTGGGTGGCTTAAACAACAGACATTTCTCACAGTTCTAGAAATTTGGAAGCCCAAGATTAGGTTGTCATCAGATTCAATGTCTGGTTAGGGCCCACTTCCTGGTCTCCAGACTACCTCTTATCATGGTATTCCCACAGAGTTGAGAGAGGAAGCTCTAATATCTCGTCGTCTTCTTAATTTTTTTTTTTCTTGAGACGGAGTCTCACTCTTTCACCCAAGCTGGAGTGCAGTAGTACAATCTCGGCTCACCGCAACCTCCATCTCCTGGGTTCAATCAATTTTCCTGCCTCAGCCTCCCAAGTAGCTGGGATTACAGGTGTGCACTACCACGCTCCGTCAATTTTTGTATTTTTAGTAGGGTCGGGGTTTTACTATGTTGGCCAGGCTGGTCTCGAACTCCTGACCTCAAGTGATCTGCCTGCCTCAGCCTGCCAAAGTGCTGGAATTACAAGGGTGAGCCACCACGCCTGGCCTCTTCTTCTTGTTATAAGAGCACTAATCCCATCATGGGGTATCTAATCTCATGATCTCATCTAAATCTAATTACCTCCCAAAGTCCCCACCATCTAATATATCATTGGGGGATTAGAATTTCAGCATATGAATTTTGGAGAAACACATTTAGACCATAATATTTCCCAAAGATAACAAGAAATCTTACAATTTTTTTGCATATCTTTCCAAAGATACTTGTATGCATTTATAGGCAACTAAATATATATGTTCTTCCCTTCAACACCACTACTTCCATAAATGGTAACATATTTTTACACACCATCCTGTGTGGCTATAACTTGAAGGCCATTCCTAATCAGTAAGCAAAGGATTACTTAGTATTTTTTGATTGCAATATATTCCACTGTATAGAGATTCCAGAATTTAATCAGCCTACTGCAGATGGACATTTATGTTGTTTCCAATCTTTTACATACAATATTGCTACAAATAACCTGTAAAGGTGGTTTTAAAGGTGTGTGAATAAATTACTAGAAGTGTAATTGAGGACTCTGGATTATATATATTCCTAATTTTAATAGATATTGTCATACTGCCCTCCACTGACGCTGAATCAATGTTCTTTCCCATCAGCAGAAAGGACCTACACTTCCCCGAACCTTGTTCCCCATGTTATCACATGATGTGATAACAAACTTTTGAATCTTTTAACTAATTAGATAGGTGAAAAATGACATGTTTAATTAAAATCTTCATTTTTGTTACCACGAGTAAGTTTGGGCATCTTTAAATAAATTTAAGAGGCATTTATATCTTCCTTTTGTGAGCTGTCTGGTCATATCTTCTGCACATTTGTCTACTGGGTTGTAAGACCTTTTAAAATTGATTTTTTCCCCATCCTAAATCACATTTTTAGACTATCTGGTGTGGCCAGCCCTATCGTAAATCACATCACCCAAGGCCTCCAGGCAAACAAAGATACAAGTTGAGTATTCTTTATCCAAAATTCCTGGGACCAGAAGTATTTCTAATCTTAAATATTTTGTGATTTTGGAATATTCACATATACAGAATGAGATATCTTAAGGATAGGACCCAAGTTCTAAAAACAAAATTCAAGGCTGGTCGCAGTGGCTCATGCCTGTAATCCCAGCTACTCAGGATGCTGAGGCAGGAGGATCCCTTGAGGCCAGGAGTTTGAGACCAGCCTGTGCAACATAGAGAGATCATGTCTCTAGAAAAAAAAAATTAAAAATTAGCCAGGTGCAGTAGCATGCACCTGTGGTTCCAGCTACTCAGGAAGCTGAGGTGGGAGGATCAACTGAGCCCAGTAGTTCAAGGCTGCAGTGAACTAGGATTGCATCACTACACTTCAGCCTGGGTGACAGAGACAGATCCTGTCTCAAAACAAATAAATTAATTAATAAACTTAGTTTATATTTCACATATACCTTAAACACATAGCCAGAAGATAATTTTATACAATAATTTTTTTTTTTTTTTTGAGACAGAGTCTCGCTCTACTACCCAGGCTGGAGTGCAGTGGTGGGATCTCGGCTCGCTGCAACCTCCACCACCTAGGTTGAAGCAATTCTTGTGGCCTTAGCCTCCCAAGTAGCTGGGATTATAGGCACGCTCCACCACGCCCAGCTAATTTTTGTATTTTTAGCAGAGACAAGATTTCACCATGTTGGCCACGCTGGTCTCAAACTCCTGTGATCCACCCACCTTGGCCTCCCAAAGTGCTGGGATTACAGGTGTCAGCCACCACACCCAGCCAATAATTTTTTGAGACAGAGTCTTGCTCTGTCACCCACACTGGAGTGCAGTGGCACGATCTTGGCTCACTGCAACCTCTGCCTCCCGGATTCAAGAGATTCTTGTGCCTCAGCCTCCAGAGTAGCTGGGATTATAGGCGCGTACTACCATGCCTGGCTAATTTTTGTATTTTTGGTAGAGATGAGGTTTCACCATGTTGGCCAGGCTGGTCTAGAACTCCTGACCTCAAAAGGTCCACCTGCCTCGGCTTCCCAAAGTGCTGGGATTACAGGCATAATCCATCGTGCCTGACCTATGCAATAATTTTTAATAATTTTGTGCATAAAATAAAATTTGCATGCATCATACCACCAGAAAACAAAGGTGTCACTACCTCAACCACTACCCATGTGGGTAATCTGTGGTTGATGGGCATCACCATCATTCCTGACTCTGAATTTATTTATTTGCTACTGATAAGGAATCCTTTTCCTATACTTATTCACACAAAAGTACGTAACAGCAAAAAATATGACATACCAGTAATACAGTGAAAAAATAATGCATTCAGGGTAACTAAGCAGCACAGTAGCACCACCAGAATACCTGTATCAGCTGTGAAACAACAGCAACAACAAACAATGGCAGGCTTTCAGTCCCCACCTATCATGCTGTGTTTTGATTAAAAGGTTACTATACACCATTTTTCTAAGTTATCAGAAGCAGGTGAGAGACCAAGAAGTGGGTCTTCTAAGGATAAGAAGGCTTTCTGCTGGATGGCTTTTTAAAATGTTTCCTCCAGAGTCATCTGCCTCATTAACAATGCTTTTGATTTAGAACTCTCTCTTAGACATTATAAACTGTGATGATTTCTTGTTCTTTTATAAATGTACACTGTTCTATTCCTTCAATAAGCCCAGCACACATTTTCACCATTGCTATCGTTTGGATATTTGACTCTCCAAACCTCATGTTGAAATCTGATCCCCAATGTTGGAAGTGGGGCCTAATGGGGTGTTTGGATCATGGGGGCAGATCCTTCATGAATGTCTTGGTGCCATTCTCTCAGTAATGAGTGAGTTCTAACTCTATTAGTTCCCACAACAGTTCACCTAGAACTGGTTGTTGAAAGAGCCTGGTACCTCTTCCTCTCTCTCTTGCCTTCTCTCTCACCATGAGATCTGCAGTTGCAGGCGCCCCTTCACCTTCTGCCATGAGTGGAAGCAGCCTCAGTCTCTTGCCAGAAGCAGATACTGGCGCCATTCTTGTGCAGCCTGCAGAACCATAAACCAAATAAACCTCTTTTCTTTTTTTTTTAGAGACAGGGTCTCACTCTGTTGCCCAGGCTGAGTGCAGTGGCACAATCATAGCTCACTACAGCCTTGAACTTCTGACCACAAGAGATCCTCCTGCTTCAGCCTCCTGAGTAGCTGAGACTATAGGCATGTGCCACCAGGCCTGGCTAATTATTAAAATTTTTGTAGAGACGCGGTTCTTGCTACATTGCCCAAGCCATTCTCAAACTCCTGGGCTCAAGCAATCCTTCTGCCTCAGCCTCCTGAAGTACTGGGATTACAGGTGTGAGCCACTGCGCCAGGCCAAAGTAAACTTCTTTTCTTTATAAATTAACCAGCCTCAGGCACTCCTTTATAGCAACACAAACAGGCCTAGACAATCATGTTGTCTTTAGGTACTTTTTCTACAGTGTTAACAATATTCATCTTCATTGTCACCATTTTCATGATCACCTTGACTCAGAACCATTTCAGCTATTTCATCCCTGGTCAATGAATGAACAACTGGAGTCTCATTATCAATGTTAAAAACTTCAGTACCCATTTTCTAGCTTTCAGGACTCTGAAGGAGTATTTTCTTTCATATATAAGCAGGCCAGACATCATTTTTTCTCATTTGACATATGGAACTCTTCAAAGTCACCATCTTGTTCATCATCACTGAACACAGTCGCAGGCCAGAGGTTGTGCCAAGCATGCACAAATTTGTCTTTAATCACTGTGCTCCAAGTGCTGGCAACAGCATAGATGGTAAACCTCATCCTAAACTCCTGAAAATCCTTCCACGGCCATGCCCCTGTTCACTGCTGTTGCATGCAATTCAAGAAAACGTTTTTATATTTACTCTTCATTGATCTAAGGACACACTTGTCACATGGCTGAATTAATAGTCACATTCAGGGGAAAGTACATGACATAAACATTATTTTTTATGAGAACTTCAGCTAGAGTATAAGCAGAACAGTTGTCAAGGAATTTTTAAAAATCTTGTAGTCATCACCCAGTGCAGCTTCTGTGCTATCAGCCTGAGCCACTAGTATACAATTTTTGTGAAACCTATCAGAAAAGATGTTCCTGGTGATTCAAGCTATTTTGTTAGCATAACGATGGACATAAAAGAAATTCACCTACTGAAAGCAGCAACGACACAGCTTTTGCCTATCACAGCAAGTTTACACTTAATGTGTGCTTACTGCATTAGCCCATATCAGCAGTTATCCTGTCTTTGACATCCTTAATTCTATAGGGGCTGTGTCATCAGCTGTAGTCACTGTCTTTCCAGGGCAATAGTGCCAAAACAGTGATATTTCATCTACATTACAGACTTGCTCTGGCATCAGATTTCATCAGCAATGATTTTGGCAAACTCACCAATAAATTTCTCCACTGCTTCATGGAGATGTTTTATCACCACAAATCTTTAAAAGTTTAATGCCATGTCTTCTTGAACATTTCTGCAATTACCTGTTGAACATTCACAGTTCCCTTCAATTTTCAGTTCATTATTATACATCTTTGTTTCATGACCAGCAAACCACTAACTGCAATGCTGGCAGATCCACTCTTTCAATACACAATTGAGACTTCCATTTTCAGCTTTATGCAGTTTTTTTTTTTTTTTCTTTTTTCTCACTGACTTCTCTTTATCCTTTCAACATAGAACTTCAACAGTTCATGTTTCTGTTTCTTCAGGTCATATATATAATGATCCCAACACCCTATTCTTTTGTAAGACATTTCACATTTACACCACTGTCCAGTTTCTCCAGCCGCTTGACTTTCTCTGTTATATATAAACACAAATGCTTCATTTTTCTTATTACTATTACCCATAAGGGTATCTGCAGGCCTTTTTGGCATTTGTAACAGTATCTTTACACCACAGAGAATAAGCAAAACAAAACAAAACCAGAGTGAGTCATGCACGTAGGTCTTGGCCCCATGTGGGGCACTGTGGGGAACCTGCCATTTGGTGTGTGTGGCCTGCACACATGTCATTTTATTGTCTTTTGTGGACATGCTTGCATGGGGGAATCTGGAAAAAAGATATACTGCAGCTAAAGTAGGCTGGAGGGGGAGTCTTTATTTCCTTGGGTTTGCTGAATAAACTGTGTCATATCCCTGTGTTTTGACTGCAACCAATCTCAGGTGTGAAATATTCCACTTGTGGTGTCATACTGGTGTTCAAAAATTTTGGATTTTGAAGTATTTCAGATTTTCAAATTAGAGGGTGCTCAAAGTGTACTCCTATCAAGCATGACATTGGGTTTAGAGACCATCGGGCTTACAGATTAATTCCCAGAAGTCAAGGGCAAGGGCTAGACTTCTCTTAGGGCAAGATGAAATTCTTTACTACACACCTACACTATAATTTATCTGTCTTTTCTATTGTTAATAGATATTTGGGTTTCTTCTATTTTTTGACAATTATGAACAACACTGCCAGGAACATTCTTGTACAGGTACACTGATATAAAAATGCATGAGTTTCTCTGGAGTATATACCTAGCAGTATGACTGCTGAGTCTTTGGGCTTCGGATACATATGTATTCAATCTATCAATGTTTATCTCAGGGTTTGGGGACTTTGTGACATATATAGAAAGCCTTTCTATATATATTTCTTAATCATCTCTGATTAAGATTTCAAAACTTTCCAATGGTTTCTTCAATTCTTTTATGGTTTCATTTCTTTGCATGTAAATCTTTGATCCATCTGGAATCTATCCTAATATAAAGCTGAGGCATGAATTCAGCTTTAATTTTTCTGCAGATAGCTGGTTGTCTCAACATTATTTTTTAAATATGTCAACTTTTCCCTACTGATTTGAGGTGACTTTATATGCCAAATTTTGTATGTATTGCTTTTTTCCCCTGAGCTATTTCACTGATCTGTCCATGTAGCCATGTGTCAATACCTCAATATTTTAACTTTGTATTTTTCATATTTTTCAATATCTGGTATGGCTAGTTCTCCCCCTTATTAGAACAATCTATTCTTGCTTTTTTTTTTAACTAGAACTTTAGAATAATCTTGTCCAGTTCTACTCTAAAAATGTTGTGGTTTATTTTAAGGTGGATTTAAATGCCATTAAAATTTAACCTAAAAATAGTTGATCTCTTTATGATATAGAGTATTCCTGTCCAAGAACATGGTATGCCTTTTCATTTATTTCACGTATCATTATAGTATTTAAATGTTTTATTCATAATAACTTGCATATTTCTCAAATTTATTCCTATGTATCTTTTAAAAATTTCCACTGTAAATAGGATTTTTTTCCATAAAATCTAACTGGTATCAATATATGTAAAGATTATTGATTTCCAAATTCACATTTTCACACAGAAATCTAACTGAATTCTATTAGTTTTTAAATAAACTTTACTTTTTAGAGAAGTTTTAGATTCACAGCAAAATACACACAGCAGAAAGTGCAGAGTTCCTATATACTTCCTGCCCACATACATGCACAGCCTCCCTCACTATCAACATCCAGCGTGAGAATGGAATATGTTATAATCGATGACCCTGCATTAACAGATGATCATCACCCAAAGTCCACAATTTACATTACAGTTCATTCTTGGAGTGGTAAATTTTATGGGTTTTGACAAGTGTATAATGAATGACATATATCTACCATTCTATTATTGTATTAGGGTTCTCTAGAGGGACAGAACTAATAGGATATACTATTTTATATATACATATGTATATGTTGTATTACTAAGGAGTATTAACTCACATGATCACAAGGTCCCACAATAGCCCATCTGCAAGCTGAGGAGCAAGGAAACCAGTCTGAGTCCCAAAACTGAAGAAGTTGGACTCCAATGTTCGAGGGCAGGAAGCATTCAGCATGGGAGAAAGATGTAGACTGGGAGGCTAAGTCAGTCTAGTCTTTTCACATTCTTGTGCCTGCTTTTCATTCTGGCCTTGCTGGCAGCTGATTAGATTGCGCCCACCCAGATTAAGAGTGGGTCTATCTTTCACAGCCCACTGACTCAAATGTTAACCTCCTTTGGCAATACCCTCACAGACACAGCCAAGATCAATACTTTGCATCCTTTAATCCAGTCAAGTTGACACTATTAACCATCACAATTATCACATAAAATAGTTTTATTGTCCTCAAATTCCTCTATGTTCTGCCTTTTTGTTCCACCCTCCCCCCATAATTTTTAAAGAAATACACTTTCAACTGATTCTCTGGAGTTGTCTAGGTGTAAGAACACACATCCTAATAATTATAGTAACTTCATTCCTCCTTTTCAATGTATATCTCAATTTAGTTTTAATATTTTTAATTGATATTTCATAGTTATACATATTTTGGGACTATATGTGATATTTTGTTTCTTTTTAAATTTCTTTATTAGCTTATTTGCCAAATCAGTAGATGCACAATGTGATATTTTGATACATGTATACGATCTATAATTATCAAGTCAGGGTAAGCGGATATCTATCACCTCAAAAATTTTTCTTTTTTTTTTTAAGTTGAAAGTCTTTATATGTAGTTCTATCAGCATTTATAATAAACTTGGTAGGGTCAGAACAAGAAACTATAAAGTTCTACCTTCTGGCTTTGAGGCCCTTCCCCCTCATCCACGGCCCCAACCTCTTGCTGGTCATAGGCAGGGCCTCCCAGGATTCGGATTCTCTTCTCACACTGCTTCTTTGCCACAGTCAGTTGGTTGATGTACCTCTTCATGTTCCTAGCCCTCATTGCCGCAGTTTCTTTACCTTTGTGCCTCTTCAGTTGGGGAAAGCTGCTAATTGTAGTCGCTTGGATTATTTCCACTACAATTTGATACCTTGCCCAAAAGTCAGTTGTTGAAAACGACCAGCACACATCTTCTACCACTCTTCTCTACCGTTCCTTCAACAGACCTTAGTTGCTTCAAGAACTCCACATCAGAGTTGCTGTTAATGAGCTTGATGAAGTCCTCATAAGAGGGGCTATAGGTGTAGGCTCTCTTGTGATGTTCATTCATCTGCTCTCTGTACTCCAGCTGGGCAAGCAGCATTTGGTTAATGTAATCTGGATTACTCAGTAACTCCACTACCGGCTTCAGGACTTTTGTTGTGAGAATTTCTGCAAGCATTATAGGTAAACTGAGAGACTGCACATCCTTTGAGGGGAGGAGACAAAACACCAGAACCCGAGAACACGTTTGTAGAAATCTTACTTCATCATCTGAGTTCCTCAAGCATACGTGCAACACAAAAGGTCTTGGCTGTTCATGTCTGGCATTAGCACCTTTCAGGTCACAGAAATGAGTGAGTAAAGTCCTCACAACATCATTGCAGACAACTTTAACCACATCCACGTGACTCAGTCTGTGGTGCAGCTGTCTGGCAATTTCCCAAAAGTCTTCCAAGAGCACATGGTAAAGTTGTCCCTCATCTCTGCTGAGGTTTCCATACCAGGACAGAATGCAATCTCTGTAACTGTAGTCGAACACTTCTTTCAGAACTTTATCCATATTATGAGAAATTACTACCCTTCTAAACTGAGCTGACTCATGTGAGTTTCCATACACAGGACTCCCAGGAGGGCGGCGGGCGGCTGAGGTCGCGGCCAGCCGGCTCCAGGCGGCGGCAAAGTCGGGCGGCGGGGCGCGCGGGCTCCGGCAGACGAGGGCGAACAGGGTCCCCAGCAGGAAGGTGGCCGCAGCGCAGCTCAGGTACAGGCTGAGCCTGAGCAGGACGGAGCTCAGCCCCGCGGCCCCCGCCGCCTCCCCGCTGCCGGGCCCCAGGAAGGAGAGGGCCACGGTGGCAAGTGCGGCCACCGCCACGGGCTTCCACCAGCTCCGGCCGCCCGGGGCCCCCGGCGCCGCCGCTGCTGCCTCGGCGTCCCCCGGGGACTCTGGCCGCCGCTCGCCCCTGAAGCCCGAGACAGGACGGCCGCCGGCGCCTGCGGCCCGCGCGGGGCTGAGGCCGGCGCCGCCACTGTCGGTCGCATCGGGGTGCATGCTGCTTCCTGGGCCGCTAAGGACAGGCACATCTCCTGCCCCGCCGTCCCCCGCCGGCGCTCCGGAGGCAGGGGGAGCCCGCGCTCCTGCCTCGCCCGCGGCCCACGGAGGGAGCGGCCCCCGCAGACGCCGCCGGGCCCCTCTCGGCGACCCCTCAGCGCCGCCAACAGGCGCTGGGCCCGTAGCTGCCGGGCCGGGCGCAGCCAGGGAGCCCCACCGTGTTGTGACTGAAGCCTGGCCAGCCTAAGAATTTATCTTTTCTTTGTGTTGGGAATATTACAATTCTACTCTTCTAGCTGTTTTAAGATATGAACTACATTATTGTTAACTGTAATTTCTCTACTGTACTACTAACACCAGAACTTATTCCTTTTAACTGTATTTTTGTACTCCTTAACCAGCTTCTCTTCATCCTGCCCTCTACTCTTCCCCTCCCTGCCTCTCATAGCCATGATTCTACTCTCTACCTCCATGAGATCCAATTTATTAGCTCCCACATGTGAGAGAACAATGTGATATTTGTCTTTCTGTGCCTGGCTTATTTCACTTAATATAATGACCTCCAGTTCCAAATCACATTGCTGCAAATAACATGACTTCATTCTTTTTTATAGCTAAATAATATTCCACTATGTACATAACCACATTTTCTTTATCCACTCATCCGTTGATTGACACTTAAGATGATGCCATACCTTGGCTATTTGTGAATAGTGAGGCAATAAACATAGGAACACCGATTGCAGATATCTCTTTGATGTTACAATTTTCTTTCTTTTAAATATATACCCAACAGTGAAATTGCTGGATCATATGGTAGTTTTATTTTTAATTTTTTGAGGAACCTCCATACTGTTTTTCATCATGGAGGTACTACTTTACATTCCCACAGTGTAGGTGAGTTCCCCTTTCTCTGCATTCTACCAGCATATGTTATTTTTTGTCTTTTGGCAATAGCCATCCTAATTGGGGTGAGATAGTATTTCATTGTGGTTTTGATTTGCATTTCCTTGATGATTAGTGATGTTGGGCATTTTTCTTCAAATATCTGTTGACCATCTGTGTACCTTCTTTTGAGAAATATTTATTCAGGTCTTTCACTCATTTTAAAAATTGGATTATTTGGTTTTTGCTATTGAGTTCCTTATATATTGTGGCTATTTTTGTTTGTTTGTTTTGAGATGGAGTCTTGCTCTTGTCACCCAGGCTGGAGTGCAATGGCACGATCTTGGCTCACTGCAACCTCAGCCTCCTGCACAGCTGGGATTACAGGCACCCGCCACCACGCCAGGCTGATTTTTGTATTTTTAGTAGAGACAGGATTTCCCCATGTTGGCCAGGCTGGTCTTGAACTCCTGACCTTGTGATCTGCCCACCTCAGCCTCTCAAAGTGCTGGGATTACAGGTATGAGCCACCGTGCCCAGCTAAGGTGATTTTTTTATATGGTAAAAGATGGGGATCTAGTTTCATTCTTCTGCACATGGATATCCAGTTCTCCCAGCACGATTTATTTACTTATTTTTATTTTTTAAGAATGGTCCCACTCTGTTGCCCAGGCTGAAGTACAGAGGGACACGCACCGCTCACTGTAGCCTCAAACTCCTAAGCTCAAGTGATCCTTCCACCTCAGCCTCCCAAGTATCTGGGACCAGAAGCACACACCACCATGCCCAGCTAATATTTAATTTTTTGTAGAGATGGGGGTCTCACTATGTTTCCCAGGCTGGTCTTGAACTCCAGGCCTCAAACAATCCTCTTGCCTTGGCTTCCCAAAGTGCTGAAATTACAGGTATGAGCCACTATGCCCAGCCCCAGTATCATTTATTAAAGAGACTACCTTTTTCCCATTGGATGTTCTTGTTACCGTTGTTGAAAATGAGTTGGCTAGAAGTACATGGATTTCTTCTTGAGTTCTCTATTCCGTTCCATTGGTCTGTGTGTGTGTTTTTACAGTACCATACTGTTTTGGTTACTATAGCTTTATAGTATAATTTGAAATCAGGTAGTGTGATGCCTCCTTCTTTTTTCTTTTTGCTCAGGATCATTTAGCTATTCATATGAATTTCAGGATTTTTTTTTTTCTATTTCTGTGAAAAATATCACCGGTACTGTGATAGGGATTACATTGAGTCTATAACTCACTCTGGGTAGTACAGACATTCAAACAATATTAATTCTTCCATTCCAGAGCATGGGATATCTTTCATTTTTTTTTGTCACCTTTAATTTCTTTCATTGGTGTCTTATAGTTTTCTTTGTAGAGATATTTTACTTCTTTGTTCTTTAGTTACATTTATTCCTAGGTATTTTATTTTTTGTAGCTATTGTAAATGAGATTGATTTATTTCTTTTTCAGGCTGATTGCTGTTAGCATATAGAAACACTCCTGATTTTTGCATGCTGATTTTGTGTCCTATGATTTTACTAAATTCATTTGTCGGTTCTAAGAGTTTTTGGTGGAGTCTTTGGGCTTTTCTAAATTTAAGATCATGTTGTTTGCAAACAAGGATAACTTGACTTCTTCCTTTCCAATATGGATGTCCTTTATTTCTTTCTCTTGCCTAATTGATGTGGCTGGGCATTTTTGTTTAATTGAATTTGCTGGTATCTTCAAAACAAGAGATAGCAGATGTCCTTTTCTTGTTTTTGACTGTAACAGGAATGCTTTTAGTATTTCCCCAATCTAAAACTTACAGAAAAGTTGCAAATACAGTATTTCCAGTAAGTTGTCATCCAACAAACAAGGACATTCTCCTATGTAACCACAATCTGAGGTCAAAATCAGGAAATTCACACTAATACATTACTATCATCTAATTTTCAAACAGCATCCAAGTTTTTCCAAGTCCTTTATAGATAAAAGATTGATGTCCTTTATAGCTAAAGGACTCAGGTCAGAATCAGGCACTGCATTTAAATGGCATGTCTCTTTAATCTCCTTCAATCTGGAACAGTTCTTCAGTTTTACCTTGACTTTAATGATGACAGTTTTGAAGATTACAGACCAGTTGTTTTGTAGAATGTCTCTCAATTTAGGCATGTATAATGATTTCTCATTATTAGATTTAGGTTATGGATCTGCAATGGAATGAATTTTCTGTGTCACCTCCCAAAATTCATACACTGAAACTCTAATCCAATATGATGCTATTTGGACGTGGCTTTTTTTTTTTTTTTTGAGATGGAGTCTCACTCTGCCGCCCAGGCTGGAGTGCAGTGATGCAATCTGAGCTCACCACAACCTCCACCTCCTGGGTTCAAGCCATTCTCCTGCCTCAGCCTCCTGAGTAGCTGGGATTACACCCGGCTAATTTTTGTATTTTTATTAGAGATGGGGTTTCACCATGTTGGCCAGACTGGTCTTGAACTCCTGACCTCAAGTGATCTGCCCGCCTTGGCCTCCCAAACTGCTGGGATTACAGGTGTGAGCCATGGCACCTGGCCTGGAGGTGGCAGCTTTGCAAGGTAATTAGGTCATGAGGGTGGAGCCCTCATGAAAGAGGTTAGTGTCCTTATAAAAAGAATAGCTAGCTCTCTTTCTGTCATTTGAGACAGCAAGAAAACCACCTTCTGTAAACCAGGAAAAGGGCATTCACAAAGAACAGAATCACCCTGGCACCCTGATCTTGCATTTTCAGCCTCCAGAAGTGTGAGAAATAAAAGTATGTTGTTTAAGCCACCCAGCCCATGGTAATTTGTTATAGCACTCTGAACTAGGACAACATCTTTGGCAGGAATATCACATCAGTGATGCTGTGTTCTTCTCAATGCATCCCAACAGGAGTCACACAATTTTGATTTGTCTCATTATTGATAATGCTAATTTTGATCACTTGATTCAGTAATGTCTACAAGGCTTCTCCACCACTACAAAATTATTATTTTTCTCTGTGTTCACTTTCTTGACTTAGCCTTAGAGCCAGCCATTTTACCAAGGAGTAACCAAGGAGTACTAGCTCCTTTTAGTAGAGAATGGTATTTAGAAACCATGAACTGAACACTAGGTGTCTTCATTGCTATTAGGGTACCACTATTTCTAGACCCTTTCAGCTACAGAGGTAGGAAATATTCTAGAAATCCTAAGTTTAAATTGATTAATTTCAAATCTCGATCAAGTCCCACAGGTTCTTCTTTGTCTTCCTCCATTCTGTATTTGTGTCTTTCTTCTTCCACAGTGAAAACCCTGGTTTTTTCAACCACTTCACGTTTATTCATTTGCTCAATCTTACAATAAAAATAATTTAAGAATCACTATACTGATACTAGTAAGAAAAATTCTGTTATTTTACATTTTAATTACTGTATTTTGTTATATTTATTTTATTAGTATTCGATGTGTCTTCTTTTTTATACTTTTGTGGAGGCATAGTATGTATATAATAAAATTTACCCTAAGTATTCAATGATTTTTTAGTAAAATTCAGAGTTGTGCAACCATTACTGCAATCCAGTTTCAGAACATTTCCATCAGCATAAAAAGTTCCCTTCTAGGCCGGGTGCAGTGGCTCACATCATTAATCTCAGCAATGTGGAGGGCTGAGGCAGGCAGATCGCTTGAGCCCAGGAGTTTGAGACCAGCCTAGGCAACATGGTGGAACCTTGTCTCTACAAAAAATACAAAAATTAGCTGGGTGTGGTGGCAAATGCCTGTGGTACCAGATATGGGAGGTTGAGGTGGGAGGACTGCTTGAGCCCAGGAGGTTGAGATTGCAGTGTGCTGTGATTGCGCCACTGCACTCCAGCCTGGGCGACAGAGTGAGGCCATCTCAAAAAAGAAAAAAAGAAGAAGAAGAAGAAAAGTTCTCTCTGCCCATATGCAACAAGTCCCCACTTTGACACCTCACAGACTCAAGCCCAGGTCATCACTGGGCTCCACAGATTTGCCTATCCTAAAAATTTTATACAAATGGAATCAAACAATACTAGTCTTTTGTGTCTGACTTCTTTCACTTCATATGATGTTTTTAAGGTTCATCCATCTGCAGCATGTATCAGTAGCCTATGTTTTATTGCTGAATGATATTCCATTACATGTATATACCATATTGTGGTTATCTACTCACCAGCTGATAGACATCTGAACTGTTTCCAGTTTTTGCCTATTACATATAATGCTCCTATGAACATTCACAATAAGCCTTTGTGTAGACATATGTTTTGGGGGTATAGGGGTGGATATGTAGAAATAAAACTGCAGGTATATTTTTAACTGTTTAAGAAATGGCCAAACTGTTTTTCAAAGTGACTGTATCATTTTATGTTCCCACGAGCAATGTATGAGGGTTCTGATTCTTCCTCACCCTCACCAACACTTGGTATTGGCAATCTTTTTTATTGTATTATTGTAGTGGGTGTGTAGTGACATCTCATTGTGGTTTTAATTTGCATTTCTCTAAAGGCTAATGCTATGAAGCATCTTTTCATGTATATATAAGCCATTGTATAAAGAAAACTGTTCTTTAGTTAAAACATAATAAATACTAATTTTTAAATGTTTTTTATCCCATTTAAAAAACTGGATTATCTTACTATCAAATTATAAGAGTTCTTTATATATTCAGATAAAAGTCCTCTATTACATATAAGATTTGCAAATATTTTTCCCAGTCTATGACTTGTCTTTTAATTCCACTTAATGGTGCCTTTTGAAGAGCAGAATTTTTTCTATTTTGATGAAGTTCAATCTATTAATTCCGTTCTCTTGTGGATCATGTTTTTGTTGTCATATCCAAGAAATACCTGTCTAACCCAAAGTCACAAAAATTTTCTCCTTGCCACTTTCTAGAAACTTTATTTAGCTCTTATATGTAAGTCTATGATCCATTTAGAGTTAAATTTTGCACATGGCATGAGATAACAAATTTTTTTTGCATATGGATGTATAATTGTCCCAGCACCATCTGTTGAAAAAATTATCATTTCCCCCATTGAATTATCTTGACGCTTTTGTCAAAAGTCAACTGACCATAAATGTAAGGGTTTTATCCTGGACTTCCAATTCTGTTTCGTTAGTCTGTTATCTATCCTTAAGCCAACAGCACATTGCTGTGATTACTGTTGCTTCATAAGTTTTAAAACTGGGTAGTGTAAGTCCTTAATCTTTGTTCTTTTTCCAAATTGCATTGACTATTTTAAGACTTTTGAATTCCATATACATTTTAGAATCAGCCTGTCAATTTATTTTTTTTTAAGCCTGATGTGATTTTAGTAGGGAGGGCATTGAATCTATAGATTAATTAGGATAAAATTGCTATCTTAACAATATACTTAACAATATACATGAACATGGAGTATCTCTCAACTTAACTTAGATCTTTAGTTTCTTTCAGAAGTGTACACATTTTGCACTTATTTTGCTAAGTTTATTGCTATGTATTTTATTCTTTCTGACACTACTGGGAATGGAATTATTTTTATTTTTATTTATTTTTTGATACAGAGTATCACTCTATCACCCAGGCTGGAGTGCAGTGGCACGATCTCGGCTCACTTCTACCTCCACCTCCTGGGTTCAAGCAGTTCTCGTGCCTCAGCCACCTGAGTAGCTGAGATTACAGGTGTGCACCACCACACCTGGCTAATTTTTGTACTTTTAGTAGAGACAGGGTTTCGCCACGTTGGCCAGGCTGGTCTTGAAATTCTGACCTCAGAATTCATCCACCTTAGTCTCCCAAAGTGCTGGGATTACAGGCATAAGCCACCACTTCTGGTCTTGGAATTGTTTTTATAATTTTGGTTTAGGTGAGTATTACTAACATATATAGATATGATTTCTGAATAGTGATCTTGCTAAACTTGTTTATTAGTGCTAGTAATTTATTCAGCTTACTTAGGATTTTCTATGTCTGCAAATAAAGTTTTAGTTATTTTCTTTCCAATATAACTTAATTTTTCTTGCCTTACTGCCCTAGCTAGAATTTCAAGTACACACTGAAGTGTGAGAAAACATTGTCTTTCACCATTAAGCATAATGTTGGCTGTGGGTCTTTTGTAGATACTCTTTATGAAATTTAGGAAGTTCTCTTCCATGCCTAGTGTGTTGAGAATTTTATCATTAATGAAAGTTACATTTCATCAAACATATTTTATGTGTCTACTAGGATGACGACGTGGTTTTCCGTTATTAAAGTGGCATATTACATTAATTGATTTTGGAGTACTAAACCATCCTCGTACTCCTGGAATATGGTATATAATCATTTTCTTTTTTCTTTTTTTTTGAGGCAGAGTCTTACTCTGTTGCCCAGGCTGGAGTGCAGCAACACGAGATCTTGGCTCACTGCAACTTCCGCCTCCCAGGTTTAAGCAATTCTAGTGCCTCTGCCTCCCAAGAAGCTGGGATTACAGGCATGCACAACCACACCCAGCTAATTTTTGTATTTTTAGTAGAGATGGGGTTTTACCATGTTGCTCAGGCTGGTCTCGAATTCCTGGTCTCAAGCAATCTGCCTGCCTCGGCCTCCCAAAGTGCTAGGATTACAGGAGTGAGCTACCATGCCCAGACTTCTTCTCTTTATTTTTTTATTGGCATGGTCTCATTCTGTTGCCTAATCCTTCTCAAATGTTGCTGGATTCTGTTACCTAATATTTCATTAAGGAATTCTGTATACATGTTCATGAAGAATACTTGTCTGCAATTTTCCTTCCTTGTGATGTGTTCGCCTGGTTTTGATATCTGAGTAATATTGGTCTCATAAAATGTGTTACAAATTGTTTCCTTTTTATTTCCGCCCAAAAATACTGTAGGATTGGTAATCTTTCTTCCTTAAAAGAAGCCATCCAGGCCTGGGTTTTCCCTTTTGAAAAGATTTCTAATTACCAATTCATTTTAGTCACATTACTTTTCTTCATTTATTATTGTCCTATTGATATTTTCCCCTTCTTCTTGAATCAGTTTCGTTAATTTGCATCTTTCTAGTAATTTGGCCATTTAAGTTGTCTAATTTGTTGACATAAAGTCATTCATAATATTCCCTTATAATACTTTTAACTTCCATAGAGTCGGTAGTGATGTCCTATCTTTTACTCTTAACTTTGGTATTTGTGTCTTTTCTCTATATTTTTCCCTTGCTCAGAATAGCTAAAGGTTTATCAATTGTGTTGATTAAAGAACAATTTTATTGGAATAGGAACAGCTCCAGTCTACAGCTCCCAGCGTGAGCGACACAGAAGACAGGTGATTTCTGCATTTCCAACTGAGGTACGAGGTTCATCTCACAGGGGAGTGCTGGACAGTTGGTGCAGGACAGTGGGTTCAGTGCACTGAGCTTGAGCCGAAGCAGGGCGAGGCATCACCTAACCCGGGAAGTTCAAGGGGTCAGGGAATTCCCTTTCCTAGTCAAAGAAAGGGGGGACAAATGGCACCTGGAATATCGGGTCACTCCCACCCTAATACTGTGCTTTTCCAATGGGCTTCACAAACGGCACACCAGGAGATTATATCCCACACCTGGCTTGGAGGGTCCTATGCCCACGGAGCCTCACTCATTGCTAGCACAGCAGTCTGAGATCAAACTGCAAGGAGGCAGCGAGGCTGGGGGAGGGGCGCCCGCCATTGCTCAAGCTTGAGTAGGTAAACAAAGCCTCCAGGAAGCTCAAACTGGGTGGAGCCCACCACAGCTCAAGGAAGCCTGCCTGCCTCTGAAGGCTCCACCTCTGGGGGCAGGGCACAGACAAACAAAAGACGAAATAACCTCTGCAGACTTGAATGTCCCTGTCTGACAGCTTTGAAGAGAGTAGTGGCTCTCCCAGCACATAGTTTGAGATCTGAGAACGGGCAGACTGCCTCCTCAAGAGGGTCCCTGACCCCTGAGTAGCCTAACTGGGAGGCACCCCCCAGTAGGGGCGGACTGACACCTCGCACGGCTGGGTACTCCTCTGAGACAAAACTTCCAGAGGAACAATCAGGCAGCAGCATTTGCGGTTCACTAATATCCGCTGTTCTGCAGCCACCGCTGCTGACACCCAGGCAAACAGGGTCTGGAGTGGACCTCCAGTAAACTCCAACAGATCTGCAGCTGAGGGTCCTGACTGTTAGAAGGAAAACTAACAAACAGAAAGGACATCCACACCAAAACCCCATCTGTACGTCACCATCATCAAAGACCAAAGCTAGATAAAACCACAAAGATGGGGATAAAACAGAGCAGAAAAACCGGAAACTCTAAAAATCAGAGCCTCTCTCCTTCTCCAATGGAACGCAGCTCCTCACCAGCAACGGAACAAAGCTGGATGGAGAATGACTTTGACAAGTTGAGAGAAGAAGTTTTCAGAAGATCAAACTACTCCGAGCTAAAGGAGGAAGTTCAAACCAATGGCAAAGAAGTTAAAAACTTTGAAAAAAACTTAGACAAATGGATAACTAGAATAATCAATGGAGAGAAGTCCTTAAAGTACCTGATGGAGCTGAAAACCACGGCACGAGAACTACGTGACAAATGCACAAGCCTCAGTAACTGATGCAATCAACTGGAAGAAAGGGTATCAGCGTGAAATGAATGAAATGAAGCATGAAGAGAAGTTTAGAGAAAAAAGAATAAAAAGAAACGAACAAAGCCTCCAAGAAATATGGGACTATGTGAAAAGACCAAATCTACGTCTAATTGGTGTACCTGAAAGTGACGGGGAGAATGGAACCAAGTTGGAAAGCACTCTTCAGGATATTATCCAGGAGAACTTCCCCAATCTAGCAAGGCAGGCCAACATTCAAATTCAGGAAATACAGAGAACGCCACAAAGATACTCCTCGAGAAAAGCAACTCCAAGACACATAATTGTCAGATTCACCAAAGTTGAAATGAAGGAAAAAATGTTAAGGGCAGCCAGAGAGAAAGGTCCGGTTACCCACAAAGGGAAGCCCATCAGACTAACAGCTCATCTCTCAGCAGAAACTCGACAAGCCAGAAGAGAGTGGGAGCAAATATTCAACATTCTTAAAGAAAAGAATTTTTAACCCAGAATTTCATATCCAGCCAAACTAAGCTTCATAAGTGAAGGAGAAATAAAATACTTTACAGACAAGCAAATGCTGAGAGATTTTGTCACCACCAGGCCTGCCCTAAAAGAGCTCCTGAAGGAGGCACTAAACATGGAAAGGAATGACCAATACCAGCCACTGCAAAAACATGCCATGTTTTAAAGACCATCGATGCTAGGAAGGAACTGCATCAACTAACGAGCAAAATAACCAGCTAACATCATAATGACAGGATCAAATTCACACATAACAATACTAACTTTAAATGTAAATGGGCTAAATGCTCCAATTAAAAGGCACAGACTGGCAAATTGGATAAAGAGTCAAGACCCATCAGTGTGCTGTATTCAGGAAACCCATCTCACGTGCAGAGACACACACAGGCTCAAAATAAAGGGATGGAGGAAGATCTACTAAGCAAATGGAAAACAAAAAAAGGCAGGGATTGCAATCCTAGTCTCTGATAAAACAGACTTTAAACCAACAAAGATCAAAAGAGACAAAGAAGGCCATTACATAATGGTAAAGGGATCAATTCAACAAGAAGAGCTAACTATCCTAAATACATACGCACCCAATACAGGAGCACCCAGATTCACAAAGCAAGTCCTTAGAGACCTTCAAAGAGAGTTAGACTCCCACATAATAATAATGGGAGGCTTTAACACCCCACTGTCAACATTAGACAGATCAACGAGACAGAAAGTTAACAAGGATATCCAGGAATTGAACTCAGCTCTGCACCAAGCGGACGTAATAGACATCTACAGAACTCACCACCCCAAATTAACAGAATATACATTCTTCTCAGCACCACATCACACTTATTCCAAAATTGACCACACAGTTGGAAGTAAAGCACTCCTCAGCAAATGTAAAAGAACAGAAATTATAACAAACTGTCTCTCAGACCACAGTGCAATCAAACTAGAACTCAGGATTAAGAAACTCACTCAAAACTGCTCAACAACATGGAAACTGAACAACCTGCTCCTGAATGACTACTGGGTACATAACGAAATGAAGGCAGAAATAAAGATGTTCTTTGAAACCAATGAGAACAAAGACACAACGTACCAGAATCTCTGGGACACATTCAAAGCAGTGTGTAGAGGGAAATTTATAGCACTAAATGCCCACAAGAGAAAGCAGAAAAGATCTAAAATTGACACCCTAACATCACAATTGAAAGAACTAGAGAAGCAAAAGCAAACACGTTCAAAAGCTAGCAGAAGGCAAGAAATAACTAACATCAGAGTGTAACAGAAGGAGATAGAGACACAAAAAACCCTTCAAAAAATCAATGAATCCAGGAGCTGGTTTTTTGAAAAGATCAACAAAATTGATAGACCGCTAGCAAGACTAATAAAGAAGAAAAGAGAGAAGAATCAAATAGACGCAATAAAAAATGACAAAGGGGATATCACCACCGATCCCACAGAAATACAAACTACCATCAGAGAGTACTATAAACATCTCTACGCAAATAAACTAGAAAATCTAGAAGAAATGGATAAATTCCTTGACACATACACCTTCCCAAGACTAAACCAGGAAGAAGTTGAATCCCTGAATAGACCAATAACAGACTCTGAAATTGAGGCAATAATTAATAGCCCACCAACCAAAAAAAATCCAGGACCAGATGGATTGACAGCCAAATCCTACCAGAGGTACAAGGAGGAGCTGGTACCATTCCTTCTGAAACTATTCCAATCAACAGAAAAAGAGGGAATCCTCCCTAACTCATTTTATGAGGCCAGCATCATCCTGATACCAAAGCCTGGCAGAGACACAACAAAAAGAGAATTTTAGACCAATATCCCTGATGAATATCAATGCAACAATCTTCAATAAAATACTGGCAAACCGAATCCAGCAGCACATCAAAAAGCTTATCCACCATGATCAAGTGGGCTTCATCCCTGGGATGCAAGGCTGGTTCAACAAACTCAAATCAATAAACGTAATCCTGCATATAAACAGAACCAAAGACAAAAACCACATGATTATCTCAATAGATGCAGAAAAGGCCTTTGACAAAATTCAACAACCCTTCATGCTAAAAACTCTCAATAAATTAGGTATTGATGGGACATATCTCAAAATAAAAAGAGCTATTTATGACAAACCCACAGCCAATATCATACTGAATGGGCAAAAACTGGAAGCATTCCCTTTGAAAACTGGCACAAGACAGGGATGCCCTCCCTCACCACTCCTATTCAACATAGTGTTGGAAGTTCTGGCCAGGGCAATCAGGCAGGAGAAGGAAATAAAGGGTATTCAATTAGGAAAAGAGGAAGTCAAATTGTCCCTGTTTGCAGATGACATGATTGTATTTTTAGAAAACCCCATCATCTCAGCCCAAAATCTCCTTAAGCTGATAAGCAACTTCAGCAAAGTCTCAGGATACAAAATCAATGTGCAAAAATCACAAGCATTCTTATACACCAATAACAGACAGAGAGCCAAATCATGAGTGAACTCCCATTCACAATTGCTACAAAGAGAATAAAATACCTAGGAATCCAACTTACAAGGGATGTGAAGGACCTCTTCAAGGAGAACTACAAACCACTGCTCAACGAAATAAAAGAGGACACAAACAAATGGAAGAACATTCCATGCTCATGGATAGGAAGAATCAATATCATGAAAATGGCCACACTGCCCAAGGTAATTTATAGATCCAATGCCGTCCCTATCAAGCTACCAATGACTTTCTTCACAGAATTGGAAAAAACTACTTTAAAGTTCATATGGAACCAAAAAAGAGCCCACATTGCCAAGACAATCCTAAGCCAAAAGAACAAAGCTGGAAGCATCATGCTACCTGACTTCAAACTATAGTGCAAGGCTTACAGTAACCAAAACAGCATGGTACATGTAGCAAAACAGAGATATAGACCAATGGAACAGAAAAGAGCCCTCAGAAATAATACCACACATCTACAACCATCTGATCTTTGACAAACCTGACAAAAACAAGCAATGAGGAAAGGATTCCCTATTTAATAAATGGTGCTGGGAAAACTGGTTAGCCATATGTAGAAAGCTGAAACTGGATCCCTTCCTTACACCTTATACAAAAATTAATTCAAGATGGATTAAAGACTTAAACGTTAGACCTAAAACCATAAAAACCCTAGAAGAAAACCTAGGCAATACCATTCAGGACATAGGCATGGGCAAGGACTTCATGTCTAAAACACCAAAAGCAATGGAAACAAAAGCCAAAACTGACAAATGGGATCTAATTAAACTAAAGAGTTTCTGCACAGCAAAAGAAACTACCATCAGAGTGAACAGGCAACCTACAGAATGGGAGAAAATTTTTATAATCTACCCATCTGACAAAGGGCTAATATCCAGAATCTACAAAGAACTTAACCAAATTTACAAGAAAAAAATCAAACAACCCCATCAAAAAGTGAGTGAAGGATATGAACAGACACTTTGCAAAAGAAGACATTTATGGAGCCAACAGACACATGAAAAAATGCTCATCCATCATTGGCCATCAGAGAAATGCAGATCGAAACCACAATGAGATACCATCTCACACCAGTTAGAATGGCGATCATTAAAAAGTCAGGAAACAACAGGTGCTGGAGAGGATGTGGAGAAATAGGAACACTTTTACACTGTTGGTGGGACTGTAAACTAGTTCGACCATTGTGGAAGACAATGTGGCCATTCCTCAAGGATCTAGAACTAGAAATACCATTTGACCCAGCGATCCCATTACTGGGTATACACCCAAAGGATTATAAATCATGCTGCTATAAAGACACACTCACACGTATGTTTACTGCAGCACTATTCACAATAGCAAAGACTTGGAACCAACCTAAAAGTCCTTCAATAATAGACTGGATTAAGAAAATGTGGCACATATAAACCATGGAATACCATGCATCCACAAAAAAGGATGAGCTCATGTCCTTTGCAGGGACATGGATGAAGCTGGAAACCATCATTCTGAGCAAACTATCGCAAAGACAGAAAACCAAACACCGCATGTTCTCACTCATAGGTGGGAACTGAACAATAAGAATACTTGGACACAGGGTGGGGAACATCACACACTGGGGCCTGTCGTGGGGTTGGGGGAGGGGGGAGGGATAGCATTAGGAGATATAACTAATGTAAATGAGGAGTTAATAGGTGCAGCACACCAACATGGCACATGTATACATACATACATGTATACAAACCTGCACGTTGTGTACATGTACCCTAGAACTTAAAGTATAAAAAAAAAACAGTGAAAGATCTTTACAATGAAAAGAATAAAACATTGATGTAAGAAATTAAAAAGACCACAAAAAAGAAAAAATAGTCCATGTTCATGGATTGGAAGAATCAATATTGTTAAAATATCCATACTCTCTAAAGCAGTCTACAGATTTAATGCAATCCCTATGAAAATACCAAATTGGAAAAAAAGTCCTAAAATTTATACAGAACAAGAAAAGACCCAGAATAGCCAAAGCTATCCTGAGCAAAAAGAAAAAAACTGGAGGAATCACATTACTTGACTTCAAATTATACTACAAAGCTACAGTAACCCAAACAGCATGGTACTGGCATAAAAACAGACACACAGACCAATGGAACAGAATAGAGAACCCAGAAACAAACACGTACATCTACAGTGAACTCATTTTTGACAAAGGTACCAAAAGGATATATTGGGGAAAAGACATTCTCTTCAATAAATGGTGCTGGGAAAATTGGATATCCATATGTAGAAGAATGAAACTAGACCTCCATCTCTTGCCAGATACAAAAATCAAATCAAAATGTATTAAAGACTTAAATTTATGACCAAAAACTATAAAACTACTACAAGAAAACATTAGGAGAAACTCTCTAGGACATTGGACTGGTCAACGATTTCTTGAGTAATACCCTACGAGCACAGGCAACTGAAACACAAATGTACAAATGGGATCATATGAAGTTAAAAAGCTTCTGCACTGCAAAGGAAACAATTAACAAAATGAAGAGACAACCCACAGAATGGGAGAAAATTCCTTCAAACTATCCTTCTGACAAGGGATTGATAACCCTTGAATATAAAACAAGCTCAAACAACTCTATAGGAAAAAATCTAATAATCCTATTTTTAAATGGGCAAAAGGTCTGAATAGACATTTCCCAAAAGAAGACACACAAATGGCAAACAGGCATATGAAAAGGTGCTCAACATCACTGATTATCAAAGAAATGCAAATCAAAACTATAATGAGATATCATCTCACCCTAGGTAAAATCGGTTTTATCCAAAAGACAGGCAATAACAAATGCTGAGAAGGATGCTGAGAAAGGGGAACCCTCATACACTGTTGGCAGGAATATAAATTAGTATAACCACTATGGAGAACAGTTTGGAAGTTCCTCAAAAAACTAAGAAGAGAGCTACCATAAGATCCAACAATCTCATTCCTAGGTATAGACCCAAAAGAAAGGAAATCAGTATGTCAAAGAGATATCTGCACTCTGGTGTTTACTGCAGCATTATTCACAATAGCCAAGATCTGGAAGCAATCTAAACGTCCATCAACAGATGAATGTGGTACAAATACACAACGGAGCATTATTCAGCCAAAAAAAAAAAAAAATGAGATGCTGTCACTTGCAACAAGGGATGGAAATGGAGGTCATAGTTAAGTGACAAAAGCCAGGCACAGAAAGACAAAATTCACATGTTGTGATGTTGTGGGATGTTTAAGCCAAGAGGAAGGCCATAAACTAGAGGAAATAACAGAAACATCAGCACCAGTATCCACTAGGCCCTCAAACTTTTTTCCTTTAATGTGTATGGTGTAGGTGGGCCGTTGTTTAGAAATTACATTAACCCAATAAGCGGCCTTTTCACTTCCGGAGCCCATCCCAGGGCCACATGTCTTATCTCCTTCGTTTAAAACGATATTAGGTAGTGAAAGCAATTGAGCTTGTTTAACAGCAGTAAAAGAAACAGGAGCTTGGCCTGGGGAGTGTAATCTATCCTAAGCTCTCATACACACCTTTGTTACTTGTTTTGTGGTAAAAGTATCAAAGTTTAATTGGGCATAAGTATCAGAGAAACTATTGGAGCCTGTGAGCTGAGCCTGAGTAACTAGAATGTCATTACTCCGATTTAGCTGAGCCTGAAAACAGGCCTCCTCTGACCACCAGGCTGAGATGGAGTTAGAACAGCTTTTTGCCAAAAGGTCACAGTCTAAAGGAAGCAAAGCGACCTCAGTACAAAAAGTTTGCAATACCATTTGAACATAAGGAAAAGTAGGACCATACTGAGTACAAGCATCCTTAAATTGTTTTTAAAAAGGTAAGATTCAGCGGCGCGTATCGATGCAGACCGGTTGAGGAACTGAAACGACAGGAGGGTGAGGGGCTGTAGTGGATGGGGGAGGGCCTGGAGAATGATAGGTAAATTGTAGTTTGGTCCCAGAGCCATTAGTTGATGCTGGAGGTTTGAAGAGAGAAGAATTAGCATATCTATGGCACCGGGCTGTGTGAGTCGCAGCCGCAGGAGTTTGAAGTACTGGCTTTTCGTGAGAAGAAGTAAGAAAAGTAGGGGGTAACTTTAAGCCAAAGTTACCAGAGTTAGACATCGAATTTTCAGAATCATTAGGTAGGGGAGGAGTAGCTGAAGGGAGAGTCTGAACGAAGGCCATGTGGTAGAGGAAGGTTGAGAAAAAGGCAGAGAAACTGAGGAAAAGGCAGAAAACTGCGGCAACTGCAGGGGGTCACGAGATTGGCAAGCCACTAAGATGGCATGCACCAAGGCCCAAGCACCCCAAACAGTGATGGGAACATAATACCCTGCCGAGACCAGTTTTCGGAATGCTTTACGAACACAATCACACAATTTTATATACACGGTTCCTTTTTCAGGAAACCAAGGACAGTATTTTTGTACTGCCCTGAATAGAGTGATAACAAAATGACACAATTTTATATACACGGTTCCTTTTTCAGGAAACCAAGAACAGTATTTTTCTACTGTCCTGAATAGAGTGATCATATTTTTCATGGTTACCTGTTTTAACAGGAGTTTCTTAGATTACAAATGACCCATAGTTAACCCAGACCTTACACAGATTACTCACCACTCGTCGGGGAGTTGAACACGCTTATCTGTGGACCAAGCCGATTGATGTTTCACCGCACCTACCAAAGGGAATCGGGTTCCCTCATGCACTTAGGAAAAAAGAAAGACCACGTGGGCGCCAGATATCGGGGGACCTGCCCCGATAATCATGTAGGTTCTTTTCTATTTTCCTAAGCGTCGGCTGGCTTGAGAAATAAAGGGACAGAGTACAAAAGAGAAATTTTAAAGCTGGGCGTCCGGGGGAGACATCACACGTTGTTAGGATCCATGATGCCCCACAAGCCACAATAACCAGCAAGTTTTTATTAGGGAGTTTCAAAAGGGGAGGGAGTATACGAATAGGTGTGGGTGACAGACATCAAGTACTTAACAGGGTAATAGAATATCACAAGGCAAGTGGAGGCAGGGCGAGATCACAGGACCACAGGACCGAGGCGAAATTAAAATTGCTAATGAAGTTTTGGGCACCACTGTCATTGATAACATCTTATCAGGAGACAGGGTTTTGAGATCAACCGGTGTGACCAAAATTTATTAGGTGGGAATTTCCTCTTCCTAATAAGCCTGGGAGCGCTATGGGAGACTGGAGTTTATTTCGTCCCTGCAGTCTCAACCATAAGAGACAGGTACGCCCCGGGGGGGCCAGTTCAGAGACCTACCCCTAGGCGTGCATTCTCTTTCTCAGGGACGTTCCATGCTGAGAAAAAGAATTCAGCAACAATAGCCAAGATCTGGAAGCAATCTAAACGTCCATCAACAGATGAATGTGGTACAAATACACAACGGAGCACTATTCAGCCAAAAAAAAAAAAAAAATGAGATGCTGTCACTTGCAACAAGGGATGGAAATGGAGGTCATTGTTAAGTGACAAAAGCCAGGCACAGAAAGACAAAATTCACATGTTGTCACCTATTTGTGGGAGCTAAAAATGAAAACAAATAAACTCATGGTGATACCAGAACGATCGTTACCAGAGGCTTAGAAGGGTAGTTGAAGGTGGGGAAAGGAGGATGATTAATGAGTATAAAAATATAGCTAGAATGTATAAGATTTCGTATTTTATAGCACAACAGGGTGATTACAGTCAACAACAATTTATTGTACATTTAAAAATAACTAAAAGAGGCAGGGCACGGTGGCTCATGCCTGTAATCCCAGCACTTTGGGACGCTGAAGTGGACGGATCACATGAGGTCAGGAGTTCGAGACCAGCCTGGCCAACCAGGTGAAACCCCGTCCCTACTAAAAATACAAAAATTAGCCAGGTGTGGTGGTGCATGCGTGTAGTCCTAGCTACTTAGGAGGCTGTGGCAGGAGAATTGCTTGAATCCGGGAGGCAGAGGTTGCAGTGAGCCGAGGTCGCATCATTGCACTCCAGCCTGAGCAACAGGACAAGACTCTGTCTCAAACAAATAAAAATAAATAAGAATAAAAAATAAAATAAAATAACTAAAAGAGTGTAAGTGAATTGTTTGTAACACAAAGAAAGGATAAAAGCTTGAGGTGATGGATACCCCATTTACCCTGATAGGATTATTATGCATTGCATGCCTGTATCAAAATATCTCATATATCCCATAAATACACTCACCTACTGGGTACTCACAAAATCTTTTTTTAAATACAAGGAAAAAAATTAGAAACATCGTAAATGTCCATCCACAGGACAATGGATAAATTGTGCTTTATTCACACAATAGAGTATTATATGGCAGAGAAAATTAATGAACTACAGCTACACAAAAATATGAATACATCATAAAAACAAAATATTGTGTGAAAAAGTAGCTAGAGAAAACTGCAGAAAATATATTATTCTTATAAAACCCCAAACCAAATAAGCTAAACAAAATAATATTTCAACATACATCCATTTGTAATAAAGTGATTTTCAAAAGGCATGAGAAGGAGCAACACAAAATTTAGGATATTACTTTTAATGCGAAGGCAAGTGAATAGAAGGAGGAAGAAAAATACTGAAAGATAATCATAATTGGTAATGTTCTAGTTAAATAGGTTCATGATGCTTTACTATTGTCTGTTTTATATATGTTACACATAGTTCATAAACTATTATATGAAATAAATTTAGAGAAGCAAATTGATAGACTATTTTTGTTAGCATAAAATTATATGTGTATTATATAGTACATAAAACTATACATATTTATTTATATTTATTTTATTTATTTCCATGTGCACAGAGGAAAAATCTAAGGTTGTACAGCAAATACTTGAGTGATACCCATAGGGAAATTAAATAAAGAGAAAAGAGTGTAGCTATTTTACCTTTCATTTAATTTATGTCTCTATTACTTGCATTTATTTCAAAGCACATAGGCTATTTTATAACTATGTTAACACCAAAATTAAAAAGAATCTAAAGAATTGTAATTATAAGGTTTTACCCGTCTGCATAGTTTTCTGAGAAGTATTTGAAAAGCAGCAAAGGACACTATAAGCTTAGCACCATGTTAACTACCATGTTAACCAATCTTTGACTTTTATCTCTTCAAATTCCTTATAGATTCTGTTTCTTAATTAATACGTACAATATCCTCTAATAGCCAAATCTTATTCTTATATTACTCACAATTACTAACCTTTCTTTTTTCCCATTTATTTGTTTTCTCTCTTCTCTTCTTCTTAATTTTTCCCTTGGCAGCATCTAAAAGTTTAAAAAGATTTGGAAGTTTCAGCTCTAACATTAAAAATTATTTTACTGATTAAAGAATTTGAAGGATTAAAATAATTGATATTTTAATCAACTTTATTATGCTTGTTGGAAGAATCTTACAAGATACAAATAGCAGATAAAACTGTTTAATTTGCCAGGCATGGTGGTGCACATCTGTAATTCCAGCATTTTGGGAGGCCGAAGCAGGCAGATCACTTGAGCTCAGGAGTTTGACACCAGCCTGGGCAACATCGCAAAACCATGCCCCTACCAAAAGTACAAAAATGAGCCAGGCATGGTGGAGTGCACCTGTAGTCCCAGCTACTCAGCAGGCTGAGGTGAGAGGATCACTTGAGCCCAGCAGGTCAAGGCTGCAGCGAGCCAAGATCATGCTACTGCACTCCAGCTTGGGTGACAGAGTGAGGCACTGTCTCGAAAAAAAGAAGAAAAAAGAAAAAAGTTTAATTATAGTTGTATCCCAGTATAAATATATGGCATTTAGGAACCCATCTAAAATACAATACTCTCCTAGGTCCACCAGAATGCAACCTCTAGTTAATCTAGGGAGTATAAGGTGTTATTAGCAGAAACTATGTGAATGCAACTATTAAGCAGTCTATTGGAAAATATAAAAAATGAATTATTTTAATTAGAAAATGGAAAAGGAGGACGGGTGTGGTGGCTCATGTCTGTAATCCCAGCACTTTGGGAGGCCGAGGCAAGTGGATCACTTGAGGTCAGGAGTTTGAGATCAGCCTGGGGAACATGGCGAAACCTCATCTTTACTAAAAATACAAAAATTAGCCATGCATGGTGGTGGACACTTGTAATCTCAGCTACTGAAGAGGCTGAAGCAGGAAAATCACTTGAACCTGGGAGGCGGAGGTTGCAGTAAGCTGAGATTGTGCCACTGCACTCCAGCCTGGGCAACAGAGCGAGACTGTCTCAAAATTAAAAAAAAAAAAAAAAAAGAAGAAAAAAAAAAAGAAAAAGAACATGGAAAAGGAGAATGTTAATTTGCCACCACATTAACTACTCCGTTCTACAAAAGACAACCATTTTCCTGACTAGAAGCAAAAGTTACCGATGTGATTTTTGTATTATCCAGCTTGGGGATGTCAGTTTCTTGAATCTTTAGTTGATGTCTTTCATCGGTTTCTGGGAAACTTTTAAGCATTATTCTCTTTATATATTGCTTCTTCCTCATTTGTTTTTCTTTCCTTCTTTGATTCCAATTACAATGTTAGATCTCATTACTGTGTCTCACATGTCTCTAACATTTTCTTCTGTATCTTTCTTTTTTTTCCCTCCTGATGTGACTTCTAGTTTACTAATTCTTTTTGTGTGTGTGTCTAATCTACTGAAAAAATCTATCTAAATTGTTAATTTTAGATAATGAATTTTTTATTCCAGGATTTATACCTGATTCTTTCTTACAGTTGATAAATCTCTATTTTCTTAAATATATTAATCATAACTATTTAAACTTCATTGCCAGCTAACTCAACATCTGGATTACCTGTAGGGCTGTTACTATTTTTTTCTCTTGTTTTTCAGTCATGTAGGCATATCTAGTAATTTTTTTTATTAAAAGTTATGTATGCTGTATTAAAAAATTCTAGAGATTCTAGATGATGCTATCCATCTCTCAAGATTATTTATCCTCCACTAGGCAAACAGAATGACGGATGATGATCGAAACCCAACCGGGGACTAGGCAGAGATGAGATTACAATTCCAGTAAGGCTCCACTTACCTCTGATTCATTCCTATCCCTCCTGGGTATTCTACAGAGGGTCTGTGTTACTGGAAGCAGAAGTCAATAAAAGAAATTTATGTAATAGTATAAACCCATAACTACAAACTGAATAGGAATTAGCTGCTCATCTTTTTCCTGAAAGTTATAGGTTATCCAGTAAAATAAGGGGAAAATAAAGGAGGAAGAAACAATATGATCCAGAAAATGGGCGACCAAACCCAAAAGAGAGGTAAAGGATATATCCAGAATGAAGACAAAAGAACTTAATATCACAGTTGCTTAACAGGCCTTGAGAACAGTAAGTCCAAATGGAGTATGTTAAATGGATCTAGGAGAGAATCCCGAAATGAAATTAACTGAATACCTGATGTGTCTGAACCTTTTCAAAGGTAATTTATACTACAACACATCACAAACACAGAAAACTAAACAAATTTTATTGACTAGGTGCGGTGGTTCATGCCTGTAATCCCAGCACTTTGGGAGGCCAAGGCAAGCAGATCATGAAGTCAGGAGATCGAGACCATCCTGGCTAACATAGTGAGATCCTATCTCTACTAAAAATAGAAAAAATTAGCCAGGTGTGGTGGCACACCCCTGTAATCCCAGCTACTCAGGAGGCTGAGGCAGGAGAATCACTTGAACCTGGGAGGCAGAGGCTGCAGTGAGCCAAGATCGCACCACTGCACACCAGCCTAGGCAACAGAGCAAGACTCCATCTCAAAAAATAAATAAATAAAATAAAATAATAATAATAATAATAATAATTAACTGTAAGGAATAAACAAGTTGTGCTAGAAAGGAACCATTATATGGTTCAGCTGTGAACAGCATAGCATCTACATAGCCATAACAATTAAAGTATTAAATTATCAAAGTTATAATAATGAAATCCTATTTAGGTGGATGGGGGGAAGAAAGTAAATGTAGGGAGAAATAGTGGTTTAAAAAGTAGCTAAATTCGGCCGGGCGCGGTGGCTCACGCCTGTAATCCCAGCACTTTGGGAGGCCGAGGCGGGCGGATCACAAGGATTGAGAACATCCTGGCTAACATGGTGAAACTCCATCTCTACTAAAAACACAAAAAATTTGCCAGGCGTGGTCGCGGGCACCTGTAGTCCCAGCTACTCGGGAGGCTGAGGCAGGAGAATGGCGTGAACCTGGGAGGCGGAGCTTGCAGTGAGCCAAGATTGCGCCACTGCACTCCAGCCTGGGTGACAGAGCGAAACTCCGTCTCAAAAAAAATAAATAAATAAAAATAAAAAAATTAAAAGCTAAATTCTAATCATCCATAGAGCCTAAAACTGAAAAATGTAGAAATGATTACATAAACAAATTATGGAATCATATCTATCAGAGATAGGTATCAAAACAGACTGCTAAAAGAGTTTGAAATGCCTGCTTCTGGAAACTGGGTTTGGGAAGAATCATTTTGAAATTATCAATTAGTGGGAGGGTAGAATAATGACATTTTGAGATATGCCAAGACTCAGAAAATTTACTTCCCAGACAACATTTTGTAAAAAGTTATTTGACAGTGTACTCTAACAGTCAAGGCAGAACACTAAGAGACAGGAAGACATGAATCTAAGAAAACAATGGATCCAACCCAGAAGACCAGCGAGGGGAGATCCTAGGATAAGAGATATAGCAGGCCTTGAGGGTAGAAAATGGTCTAGACTACACTAGGCAGGCAAGAACATCTCCAGAGAAAAGAAATGAACTCTAAGGAATAGTATAATTAAAAGGATGGAAAATCTTTTCATTATGGCAGTTATATGATCTTTTTGTCAACAATAAAAACAAGAGGGAGAACTAGAAACTCTAAGAAAAACAAAAACTATGAGAAAGTGATGGTTCGAATACGAAGCAAAAACTAAGATACAGCACGGTTTTAAGCAACTGATAGAATATAAATGATGTACTTGATGCTGTGACTAAAACATTCTCCTTTGAGAGTCCTAGCAATCATAACATTAGATCCATGAAATGGAAATGCAATTCTTGCATATGACTTGGCACTGTAGTAACACTATTTATATAATGATAGTGATTTAAATGCTAATTATTGGTCTTAAAGATTTAAAGTGAATCTATGAACGAAAAAAGAAAGACAATTCTTGTTGTAGATATTAACTACTGAAAACCTAAAAGAAGACAATGGGGAGAAAAAAATGGAGGAAAGGATAGATATACCAATATATTTAACTTATGTAAGACAGAATAAAATAATTGACTACAATTGATGGAACAAGAAGCAGAGTTACAAGTATGCTACTTATTAATACCAAATTAGCCGATAGAAAAACTAATTACAACACAACTTACAAACATTGAGAGAGTAAAGGTAGGTGAGACAAAGGAGTAATTTAAAGTGAGCCAGTCAACTGATCTTGTCTAGGGTTGAGTGTGGAGAACATTTGTTATATTTTGATTGCCTAGTATCTGATTCCGCCTCCTATGTTCAGTGAATATTTGTCCACATGCCTTTCACCATCAGTGCTGAAGAAGCCAATCTTGCTTCCCCAGCTCCCTTTGCAGCTGGGACATATTACTTGAATTAGGAACCCAAATGTTAATAGTGGTTAGCACATGCAATTTCTTTAGCCTATAATAAATATTCCGTAATTTCACTTCCTTGCCTTTGCTTGAAAATGCCTATTCATCCTCCACCTCTCAGTTTAGATAATCATTTCCTCTTCAAAGCCCTTCCTTGTCCCCATGACATATGCAGGTGAAGTAATAGCACTCACCTGCATTGTAATGAAGTATTTGCTTGTTTTATTGCCTAATATATTTTCTTTTTTATTCTTTTTAACTCCTCTATCATTCCTAATATTGCTTAATATAATAAAAGTTCCTTGTCTGAAGGGACCATGGCATGTTTACCATTATGTCTGGTACATAGTGAGTATGCTCAATAAATATTAGTTGAATAAACAAAAATTATAACATGTTTAGTATTTTTTTTCTAAATCACCTAACTTATAAATATGAAACCTTAACAGGATGATAAACATACCTTCAATACTTGAATCTGTCTGGCTTCCTGAAGACGATGATGAGGAAGAAGGAAACATAGGATCATCTGAAGAAAAAGACGTCACTGATCTATGTCGGGATCGGTGCTGGTTTTGGTTTTGCTTTCTTCTTTTCTTTCGTTTGTGTTTACCTTAAAGAGATATAAAATGGAACACAATTACTTTCCCAAATATTAGCAACATATGAGAAACATACACATTAATTCATAAAATGTATCTTAAATTACTCAAAAGGCCTTAAAGCAAGCATAAACTCCTACCTTCATATTTGCCAGCCCTGGCATCTTCAGGATTTCTGTGAGTGGACTTCTTATCCATGTCTATTAAACCTCCCTGCCATGTCTATAAAACCAAAATATTGACACATTATTAGAGAATTTAAAATGCAAAATATTTCTGGGGACAAAGAAAATGAAAATGATAACAACCTCAGCACTAACATTTTGGGCTGGATTATTCTTTGTTGTGAAGGGCTTTCCTATGGATTTTAGGCTGTTGAGCCACATTTCTGGCCTCTACCCACTAGATGCCAATAGCACCTTTATGTGTGACGACCCAAAATGGCTCCAGACATTAACAACTGTCCCTTGGGGGGCAACCACTGTTGAGAACCACAATTCTACTGAGAACAAATGGACTAGAGTAGTAGTAATAGAGACAGAAAGAAGAGGCTCAATTCAAGAATCAGAATCACCAGGAATTACTGGTGGACTGGCTATGAAGGAAAGAAAGAAATAAGGATAACTTCTAGAATGTTGGCATGACCAATTGGGTAGACAACAATACCATTAACTGAGATATGCCAACACTAAGGAAGGAATATGTTTGGAATAATATTCCACTAAAATACAGAACAGAAAATCATAAAGTTTTTCTTTTTGAGACAGAGTCTCACTCTGTCAACCAGGCTGGAGCGCAGTTGCGCAATCTCGGCTCACTGCAACCTCTGCCTCCTGGGTTCAAGTGATTCTTGTGCCTCAGCCTCCTGAGTAGCTGGGATTACAAGCGCCCACCACCACGCCTGGCTCATTTTTTTTTGCATTTTTAGTAGAGACAGGGTTTCACCATGTTGGGTAGGCTGGTCTGGAACTCCTGACCTCAAACGATCTGCCCGCCTTGGCCTACCAAAGTGCTGGGATTACAGGCGTGAGCCATCATGCCCGGCCCAGAAGTTTCTTTTCAAGGTATACCTAAATAGCAATTTAGTAGATGCCTAGAGACTAAGTAAATATGTTATTTACTTCATGTTGACAACAAAGATTATTTGAATAGAGAAAAGGCACTCACAGTAATAAGTCTGAGAATCTTCAGTACAATGTTTGAAGCCACAAGGCTGAATGATACCACAAAAGGAAAACAGCACAAATGGAGTACTAAATACTCATCTTTCGTAACTGAAAGTCAAAAGATAATGTCTAAGGTGGATATTGTCTAAATTAGGAAACATTACTATAAATATATTATTTTAAAATATGTATCTAGAGAAAGAGCTAAAAGAATTGAAGGAAGCTGCCTATGGCAAGTTAGATGGAGTACTGTAGTATTTTTTGGTTTTTAAAATGAATAAATATTATTTTGACAAAAATTTAAAAGTAAATAAATCTCCTCCAAGCACACAAAGAGTAAGTGGGAATTCTCATCCAAGATGCCAGACTTCCTTCCTAGTCATATGAAAATTATGGTTAAGCAATAAACAAAGAAAGTAAAAGGTGAGGAGTATAAAAGTGTGGAAAACTGCAGGGGTTCAAAGGAAAAAAAAATCTCAGGATAAAGCTGTTCAAAGGACTCAAGAGCAATAGTTCCAAATAAGAACAAAATATCAATGGGTTCTAACAAAGTTGTTATCAAGAATACTAGCAACATTTCGCTAAAAACCATGGACTTCAAGAGAAATATAACCTAGGCACATTCCTGAGACTTGCAATGAATAATATTTATAAAGTCACAATAAAATGTTATTTTGAGTTTTTATTTTTTCATTTTATTTATTTTTACCTTATTTATTTATTTAGGCAGGGTGTTGCTTTGCTGCCCAAGCTGAAATGCAGTGGTGCAATCATAGCTTATGACAGCTCCAAACTCCAGGGCTCAAGCGATCCTCCTTCCTAAGTCTCCCAAAGTGTTCAGATTACAGATGTGAGCCACTGAGCCTAACTATTTTCATTGGTTTTTAACATGTGAATCCAATTTACAGAGGAAAACACTGAAGTGTTCATAACAGTTATAGAACAAAAGTTAACTTATCCAATTATAATGCTATAAATGTAAAGGCAGAGCTGTCAGGACACGAAAGGTGGAGAAGAAAAAGAAAAGGTAGCGGGAAAGGAATGCTAATATCCTATGAAATCAAGAGAGAGTGATAAAACTTGTGATAGTGATAGAACAAGAAATATGTGCTTATATATATTAATTGCTTAAGTCTACAAGAGTAAACAAAAGAGAAAATAAAAACACTTTATGAAATCTGTGGAGAAAGCAGCCAGCAGGAGCAGAGGCTGTTAAAATTGAGATGAGCCCTCATCTATCACAGCAGAAACTCAGAGGACAATAAATAAATTTGACTGAGAAAAAACAGTATGGGCATACTATTTAGAAATGCAGAAACAATCACCAAAATAACTAAACATAAAAAATGTTTACGGTGTTTGTCTCTAGGGATGTGGATCCAGAAAGAGGAGAAAGCAGGTGGGATGGAGACTATTGCTTTTCATTATCAACTCTTACATGCAATTTGATCTTTTAATCATGTGCACATATTATGTTGCTAAATGTTTTTAAAAGTTTTTTAAAAAGAGTGAATTGGGAAGTGAGGAAATAAAAGACAATAAACTATATTTTACCATGAAAGCAGAAAAATGGCATAGTGGTTGGAGGAATTACTGAGGTCGGGGTGAGTTTTTAAAATGAGATTCTAGACTATTGGTTTTTTTCTTAAAAAATTTTTCAGTAAAATTTACTGAAATTTATATACAGTAAAATTCACGTGTGTACAGTATTAAGAGTTTTAACACACACATAGATACTTGTAACCACCATTAACAGGATACAGAACAATTCCAATACCCAAAGAATTTCCTCATGCTACTCCCTGGTAGTGAGACCCTCTCCCCACCTTTAACCCTGGGCAACCACTCATCTATCTGTTCACTGTCCGTTTAGTTTTACTTTTTCCAGAATGTCATATAAATGAAATCATAAGTATTTAACCATTTGATATTGGTTTCCTTCACTTAATATAACACACCTGAGATTCATCGAAGCTACTGCATATATCAGTGTTTGTTCCTTTTTACCCAGTCCCATTCCATTGTGAAGATGTACCACACTGTGTTTATCCACATTCACTCACTTAGGGACATTTAGTTCATGTAGTTCTTCTTGTTTAGTCTGCTAATATGGTAGATTACACTGATTAATTTTCAAATGTTGAAACAACCTTTTAGGACATTTTGGGCAATTATAAATAATGCTGCTATAAACATTCATTTACAGATTTTTGTGTTAACGTAAATTTTTATTTCCCTAGGATAAACACACAAAAGTGGAATTGCAGGGTTACATAGTAAGTGTATGCTTAACTTCCTAAGAAACTGCACAACTGTTCACCAAAGTGGCTGTAGTAATGCATGAATGTTCTAGTTGCTCCACATCCTTGTCAGGACTTGGTATTATTTTTTAATTCTATCCATTCTGGTAACTGTTTAATATTACCTCCTGGTTTTAATTTGCATTTCCCTAATGATTAATGATGTTGAACGTATTTTCACGTGCTTATTTGCTAGCTGTATATCACTGGCGAAGTGTCCAACTTTTTGCCTATTTTTTTAATTGGGTTATTTGGTTTCTTGTTAGGTTTTGGAAATTCTTTATATATTCTGGATATAAAAGCCTTTGGTCAAGTATGTGATTTGCAAATATTTTCTCCTAACATGGTTTGTCTTTCATTCTCTTTACGGTACCCTTTATATAGCAAAATATTTTTTGATGAAATTCAATTGATCTTTTTCTTCATAGATACTGCTTTTGTTGTTACCTAATAATTCTTTGCCTAACCCAATGTCACAAACATTTTCTTCTATGTTTTCCTAAAGAATTTTAGGTTTTAGGCTGGGCGCCGTGGCTCATGCCTGTAATCCCAGCACTTTGGGAGGCCGAGGCGGGCAGATCACGAGGTCAGGAGATGGAGACCATCCTGGCTAACACAGTGAAACCCCGTCTCTACTAAAAATACAAAAAATTAGGCAGGCATGGTGGCAGGTGCCTGTAGTCCCAGCTACTCAGGAGGCTGAGGCAGGAGAATGGTGTGAACCCAGAAGGCGGAGCTTGCAGTGAGCCAAGATCCTGCCACTGCACTCCAGCCTGGGGGACAGAGCGAGACTCCATCTCAAAAAAAAAAAAAAAAAAAAAAAAAGAATTTTAGGTTTTAAAATCAGGTCATGTGAATCCTTCAGCTCTGCTCTTCGTTCTAAAAACTCTTTTGCTAATTTAGTTCCTTTACCTTTCCTTATCAACTTTACAATCAAGTAACCTATGCCTACAAAAATCTTGCTTGGACTTTGACTGTAATCAAATTCATGGATCTATTTAGGGAGAACTGACATTTTAACTATACTGAATTTTCCAATCCATGAACACTATGGGTCTTCTTTCATCAGCATTTTGTAGTTTTTAGCACACAAATCCCGCACACACTTTGTTAGATTTATACCAGAGTATTTCACTTGTGAGGGAGGACAGTGGGTCAGTTTCCAAATCCCACACATACTTTGTTAGATTTATACCAGAGTATTTCACTTCTGAGGGAAGAGAGTGGGTCAGTTTCCAAATCCCACACATACTTTGTTAGATTTCTACCTAAGTATTTCATTTGTGAGGGAGGAGATTGGGTCAGTTTCCAAATCCCACACATACTTTGTTAGATTTCTGCCTAAGTATTTCATTTGTGAGGGAGGAGAGTGGGTCAGTTTCCAACGGTTCATTGTTAGTGTAGAAATAGGATTATGTATGTTAAGCTTGTATCCTGTAACCTGCTAAATTTGTTAGCTCTACCAGCTTTTTAAATAGACTTCTTGAGACTTACTATATAATTGTCATCTGCAAATATAATTTTATTTCTTCTTTTCCAATCAGAATGCTTTTTCTCCCATTTTCTTGACTTACTATAATTGCTAGGATTTCCAGTAAAATATTAAACAGTAGTGGAAGAGACATCCTTGCCTAGTTCCCAATCTTGGAGGGTAGAGAGCATTCAGTCTTTCACCATTAAATATAACAATAGCTATGGGTTTTGTCGATGACTTTTATTAGGTTCTCTTCTATTACTTGTTTGCTGAGTTTTAAGAATAATGAATGAATGCTGAATCTTCTTAAGTGTTTTTCTGCATCTATTAATAGCATCATGTAGTTTTTCTTATTTAGTCTGTTAATATGGAGGATTATATGATGTTCAAATATTGAATTCCTGGGATGAGACTTCGTCACAATGTACTATTTTTCTAATATACTGCTGAATTCAATTTGCTATTATTTTTTGAGGAAGTTGTATCTTTGTTCATGAGGGATTTTAACTTTTAGATTTGTTTTTTGTATTGTCTTTATCTGGTTTTGGTATCCAGAAAATGCTGCCTTCATAAAATGAGTTAAGTGTTTCTTCCTTTTCTACGATCCAAAGAGCTTGTAAGAGAACTGTTATTTTTTCATCCTTGAATGTTTGGTGAAATTTGCCAGTGAAATTATCTCGGCCTGGAGCTTTCTTTTTTTTTAAAGTTATTATTCTTTTTTTTTCTTCCTGGCAAGAAGACTCTTGCCAGGGTTTGTTTTTTGGTTGTCGTTTTGTTTGTTCGTTTTTCTCACAAATTCTATTTCTTTAATACTTATAGGACTATTTCATTTACCTATTTTGTCCTGGGTGAGTTTTGGTAATTTTGATAGTGGCCCATTTCTCTCACATTATCAAATTTATAAGTACAGAGGTGTTCGTGTATTACCTCATCCTTTTTAATGTCTGTTGGGTTGGGAGTGCTCTTAGAGCACGTATGTTTGTTTCTTTTTTAAATTTGTACTTAAATTTTTATTTGCTGATCTTCTCTGTATCATTCCAATTTTAGTATATGTGCTACTGAAGCAAGCACTAGCACAGATGTTATAGGAATGACTTCAATAAAATACTGAAGACAAGGTAGACCTGCAGCATAACTGATCCTCGAACCTTGTTATCATTGATTTCCTCTTTCAATTCCATATCCAGTCAGATATTTGATTTGTCCTTGTCAATACTTCTTCTGATTTCTCTTCATTCCCAATACTGCTTGGCACAGTCTCCTACCTAAATGATTCCCCTGCCACTTAACTAGTCTCGTTGCTTTTTCCCACTGTCATGCATTTTTCATACTGCTACCAGATTTATCTTTTTAGACCTCAAATGGTTCAACACTGCCCACAAGATAAAGGCCTTCCACATCTGGCTTAGTTCTGGTGTTCTGAATAATACTTTTTCCCTAAATCAAGGGTTTTTAACATTTAAATTTGAGAAGGAGTAGTCAACAAATCTCCTAAAATTAAGCATAAAATGTTGTATGGATGTGAATTTTATTTCCAGAGCAAGATCTACAGCTTTTTTAAAAAATTTATTTTTAGGCTGGGTCTCATGGCTCACACCTATAATCCTAGCACTTGGGAAGGCCGGGGTGGGTTGATTGCTTAGGCCAGGAGTTTGAGACCACCCAGGCCAACGTAGCAAAACCCATATCTACTAAAGTTACAAAAATTAGTCAGGTGTGATGGTGCACACCTATAGTCCCAGCTACTCGGGAGGCTGAAGCATGAGAATCACTTGAACCCAGGAGGCAGATGTTGCAGTGAGCCAAGATTGCACCAGCCTGGGTGACAAAGCAAGACTGTCTCAGAAAAACATAATTTTTATATATTTAGAGGGTACGAGTGCAGAATTCTTAGATGTACATATTGCACAGTGGTGAAGCCTGGGCTTTTAGTGTACCCATTACCAAAATTGTGAGCATTGTTCCCAGTATGTAACTTTTCAACCCTCACCCCCCTCCCATCCTCCCACCTTTTGTAGTCTGCAGTGTCTATATGTACGTGTACCCATCACTTCTCAGCTCCTGCTTTAAGTGAGAACATGTGATATTTGGCTTTCTGAGTTATTTCGGTTAGGATAATGGCTTCCAGTTCTATCCATGTTGCTGAAAAAACATGACTTTTTAATGGCTAAATAGTATTCCATGGCATACACACACACACACACACACACACACACACCACCACATTTTCTTTACCCAATCCTCTGTTGATGGAGGGTCTACAGATTTTATCAGATATTCAAAATGAGAAAATTGTACTCTGAATCCTTCAACCTTGTCTCTGTATCGAGAACACACTACAGGTGGGGTGCAGTGGCTCATACCTGTAATCCCAGCACTTTGGGAGGCCAAGGTGGGAGGACTGCTTGAAGCCAGGAGTTCAAGACCAGCCTGGGCAACATAGTGAGACCCTGTCTCTACAAAAAATACAAAAATTAGCCGGGCATGGTGGTGCACACCTGTAGTCCCAGATACTCAGGAGGCTGAGGTGGAGGCTGCAGTGAGCTCTGATCACGCCACTGCACTCCAGCCTGGGCGACAGAGTGAGACCCTGTCTCAAAAACAAACAAACAAAAAAACAAAAAAAAACACTAAAAACAAACTACAGCCTCCACCTCCCTCAATAGTGAGTACAGAGTTATCACTCCTCTCTCTGAAATTAGATTTATAATATTTTAGTGACCTAGCCTAACCTTAACATTTTACAGATGAGTAAACACATCTAGCACTTTTACCTGATTTGTCCAAAGTTGCTCTTATACAATTTGTATTCTGTGCAACTGAGATGGGATTTATCTGCTATTTTATGTGGCCTTTTTATGAAGGCCTTTTCATGTTTCTCCTTCAGGTCGGAACTAAACCTCAGAGTTCTTCAAAACCCCAATTACCTTTATTGTCTTACATAAGCTAGCTGCCCAAATGTTTGCTGAGAATAGTGATAACCATTGTCATATTGAGGTAGAGGAAGGGGGCTGGTTGGTGGGTACTGGTTTAGGGGTACTTTTTTAAGGAAGCATGAGCACATTTTGGATATGCAAAATATTATTAAGTTTAGAGCTTAGATTTGGAAAAACAACACTTAAGCGTCTGTGTAAGGAGAGCTCTGAGAAAAGGGTTTTCAGACAGAACCCAAATTTCTCAAGAAGAACCCTCTAAACAGCATTAAGGAAAAAAATTCCTCTGTAGAAGCAACTAAGAAAAAAAGGAATACTCAGTATTTGGGAAAGAGAAAGGAATGAATGATAACAACACCAGATTGAGTAAGCTACACAATAAATCCAAATTTCAGCCCTACCACATCCAACCTATGTTGCCTTGAGCAAATTATTAAACTTTTCTGTGCCTCAATTTTCTCATGTCTGCCTACTTAAGGACTGCGTGGGAAGATTAAATAAAATGCATGTAAAGCACTTAGGTCAGTACCTTACTCTTAAGGCACTCTTAAGGGTTTGAGAAGGAAGGGAGGGACGTTAAGTGGAATGGTCCTTGGTACATTTTTGTTCCGCGGCAGTAGGATTCTGAAACAGAGGACATAATTACAAAGAAAGTTGGAGTAAGAAGTGGTGGTGCGGGCATCACATTTTCCTGGTGAGTATCTGAGGGCCCATCACAACTGTAGGAAGCGGAAGGGCTAATAAGTGTCAGGCCAAGAGCACACCCTCCAGGGTGCATCTGAGAAGTCGGCGGCCGTCGAGTATTAGCACTTAAATACTACGAGAGCTTTCATGACAAAGGACACATCTTTTGGGGAAACTCAGAGCTTGGGAGCGGCCTCATTAGCGGGGGACCGGGCAGAGGGGGGCTACCAACAGTCCCCTCGGAGTGACCGAAGGGAGATTGAGGAAAGAGTGAGGTGGGAAGAAAATGGCGGCGCGGCTTCTACCGGTTTGCCTTCACACTCTAGCCACAGCCCCGGCTGGAACGGTCACTTACTGGAAACTGCAGAGAAACAACCTGTTTGGTCCGACTTGACAACCTCAACCGGACCGAAGGTGCTGAACAACCAGTGCGGCGAGCGCCGCGAAACCCAACGCCCGACCGCGTAGGGAACGTCACAGCGCGCGCACGCGCAACAGTCGACTAGAAATGTCCGGCCTACGCCACAGAGCGGGGCGGGAGCGGAAGCGACTCTTCCGGTCGCGGGAGCCTTAGGCAAGAGCTGCTGGACTGGAGGGAGGGAGGGGAGGGGAGGGGAGGGGCGCGGGGACTCAAGCCACGGTTTTTGTGTCCGCGGCTGCACCCCTCTCGAAGCGTTTTCACGCACATGTGAGAAACCTCACACCCTGGGGCCGATTTCTTTAGTAGATTGGCGCCCAAATGGCAAAGATTTCCAGGGATTTGTTTGGGATTCCATATTTTTGTAGATTTGCCGAGATTGGATACTAGTACAATATTGAGAATTCCCGTCCAGCAATGTGGCTATTTTTTTAAATTAATTCAGTTCTCCCTTTGTTTTTCAGGTAAAGCGTTGCAGTTCGCTTGGTGTTGTGCGCATTTAACATTTTTTCATAGCTATTTTTGTTATTGTAGTTTGTTTTTACTAATAGACTATTAATCCATTAGTATCCTTGTATAAGAATGGCTTTTGATTGTTGATCTATCTGGACACTTCACTAAACGTTCGTATTCTAAAAATTTGACAGGCAGTCCTCTTTGATTTGTAGGTAAGAATTTATCTGTAAAGAACAATTTTGGCTTTTCCCAAGAATCCAGTGCAACACTGAATAGTAGCCGGAGGTACTTATTTCTTACCAGGAGTTATTTTGGATTGCATCTTAGGTTTCATTCAAGATATCTTCTGCAGGTTTATGGTGTGTGTGTGTGTGGGTGTATAGGCAAATTATGTTCTTTTCGTAGTTTACCATATCGGTTTTTTTTTTAATCAGCAAATGACTAAGTTTTACCAAGTATTTTCAGTATCAGTCTTTGAGATGATTGTATGGCCTTTTTTCCATTACTCTACAATAAAATAACTACAATAATAGATTTTCTAATGGTGAGCCAAACTTAGAATCCTGGTATCTTATTTTTTCAATATATTGCTGGATGCAATTTGCTGTGTAGTTAATTTTGGATTTTCATGTATGCACCTAAGTTAGATTGGCTTATGGTTTTCTTTTGCTGTCCTTGTCTAGTTTTGGTATCAGGTTGTGCTAGGAGTCAGACAGGTTAACTTATTTTTGTATGACCTGGAATAGACATAGCATGTGTGAATGATACATTTCTTAGGTTTTGAAGAACTCATCTTTAAAGCCTTCTGGGTGTGGTGCCATCTTAATGGATAGTTTTGTTTTTTATATAGCGTCCATCGTTATTGATACCTAGAATTTTTTCTTTTGCTTCTTGAGAAAATTAGTTTTTTCTAGAAAAGTATTGGCCGGGTGCGGTGACTCACGCCTGTGATCCCAGCACATTGGGAGGCCGAGGAGGGCGGATCACGAGGTCAGGAGATCGAGACCATCCTGGCTAACACGGTGAAACTCCGTCTCTACTAAAAATACGACAATGAAAAATTAGCCGGGCATGGTGGCGGGCGCCTGTAGTCCCAGCTACTCAGGAGGCTGAAGCAGGAGAATGGCTTGAACCCGGGAGGCGGAGCTTGCAGTGAGCTGAGATTTTGCTACTGCACTCCAGCCTGGGGGACAGAGCGAGACTCCATCTTTAAAAAAAAAGTATTTCAGCTATATTTTCTAACATTTAAAAAAATCTCATATTGTTCTCAACCATTCTTATATATTCTTATATATATATTCTTATATATTGTATTGGAGTCTTTTTCTTGATCATATTTATCAAACCAGCTTTTGGTTTTATAGATAAAATCTGTCTTAAAAGTAATTTCTCTTTCATTAATGTATGCCTTCATTAATTTCTTCTTATCTCTTTGGGTTTATTTTGTTCTTTTTATAGAATCTTGGAAGCTTAACTTTCCTTTAAAATGTTTAATATGAAATATTACCAGAATGTACAGTTACAGAAAATAATATAATGAACACTTGTATACCAACCATCTAGCTTTATCCCATTTTAACATTTTCTCTTATTTGCTTCAGATTTTAACATTCAGTTAGAGCTCCTTGTGAAACTGCCTGCAATCTCATTCTCCCTCTCTTCCTCTCTGAAATTAACTACTTCATTGAATTTGGTATCTGTCATTCCCATGAAAGCTTTTATGTATGCTCCAAATACATGTAGCGATGTTAAGTAGCATAAAGTACTGTTTTATGCTTTTTAAACCTAATATAAATGATATGCATGTCACTTACTTTTGCCACCTATAATTATGTATGTAAAATTTATCCAGGATGATTCCTGTAGTTCTAGTTTTATTTTAACTGCTGAATAGTATTCCATTGTATAATTGTACCACCATTTATCCATTCTCCAGTTGCTAGCAATTTCATGATTCCTGATTTCTGTCATTATAACATGAGTTAGTTCTTGCACACAGCTTCTTAGACATATGGTAAGAATTTCCTTAGGATAATGTCTAGAAATGGAATTGCAAGGTGGAAGGGTTTGCACAGTTCAACTTTGATATTGCCAAATTGTTCTCCAGTGGTTGTACTAACTTACCCTCCATCAGCAATGTAGGAGAGCTGCTGTTGCTCCATTCCATGCCAACACAGGTTATTTTTTTGCCCCAGTTTTTTTGTTTTGTTGTTTGGTTTTTTTTTTGCTGTTACCAACTGCTGACAGTAAATTTTCTTGTACATGTTTCCTGGTACACGTGTGCAAGAGTTTCTCTGACTATAAAGCTAATGCAGTTATTAACTCTATTTTGTTTTCGGTATGTTTTTTAAAAGCATGTACATGTCCCCCTCATTTGAGATTTCTCCCTGTTAATACTAACACTTAACTTATTCATAGATATATCTCACTCATTTTTTTCTATGTATCATGCTTCCTGTTCTCTTTACTGCCTTTGGTTTGACAGTCTTTTTTTCCAGTTTTTTTCCCGCTTTAGTGGTTTGAAAGTTATATTTGATTTTTATTCTATGAATAGTAGTTACTCTTCTAACTCATTTAAAGGTGTATCTTTATATATATGTGTGTGTGTGTGTTTAGAATTCATCAGTATCCATATGAGGCAGTCTGTGTAGTGGTTAAGAGTGGAGCCTGTGAGGCCAGACTGCCTGGATTCAGATCCTAGCACTACCACTTATTAGCTGAGTAACCTAGAGCTTATTACATAAACTCTCTGTGCCTCAGTTGTTTCATCTGTAAAGTGGGGATAATACAGCATATACCTCATGAGGTTGTTCTAAGATTAATATGTTAATATATGTAACATTCTTAGGACAGTGCCTAATGCTTGGATCTCTTTACCAGATTTTTCATCTATGGAATGGGCAGAAGACTTGCCTATCAGAGTTGTTACAAAAATTCAGTGCATTAGTGTATTCATTCATTTTAATACACTGAGCACCTGCTGTGCACTTTTGAATTAGACATGGTTCTCGGCTTCAGTGGTCTCATAAGGGAACAGACATGAAATGCAATTTCAATACGATTTAACCTTAATACTCTTCCCATGTTCTCTCTTGTCCCCCTTCTAATCTGTGCTCCACATTAAGAGGCAAAACATTAATCAGATCATGCATCCTCTGCCCATCATATGTTAACTTTCATTATACTTTACATAAACCATAAACTTCTCACCATGGCCTGAGCCCTCAGGTTCTAAACCCTGTGCCTCCCTCTCTAACCTCATCAACTATCATTCTCCTGATTTCTACCAAATTCCCACCACACTATCCTCTTCTCAGTTCCTTGAGCCAACACTCTTCAGTGCCCTCTGCTCAGATTACTGATCCACCCTGACAGCTCTTCCCACGACTGACTCATCTTTCAGATCTCAGCTTGATTAGGTCAGGCAGTTAGTTACAAGCAACGGAATCCACTCTGGTTGAGAAAGAAAAGGACTTTTAAAAAATCATGTAGCTCACAGAATCTCTAGGAGAGCCAGAGGCCAAATATGGAAACAACGGTACCCAAACACACTAGACGATCTAGTGAGAATCCATTGCTGCTGCCACCATTGACACCAAAACTGCAACTTCCACAAACACTGGCGGTCCCCACTGGTAGCCAGAGTTAGGCATGTTTCCTTCTTCATCTTGCTCACTTTTTTTTTTTTTTTTTTTTGGAGATGGAGTCTCACTCTGTCACCCAGGCTGGAGTGCAGTGGCATGATCTCAGCTCACTGCAACCTCTGCCTCCCAGGTTCAAGCAATTCTCCTGCCTCAGCCTCCCGAGTAGCTGGGACTACAGGTGCCCGCCACCACGCCCGGCTAATTTTTGTATTTTTAGTAGAGACGAGGTTTCACCTGTTGGCCAGGCTGGTCTCGAACTCCTGACCTTGTGATCCACCCTCCTCAGCCTCCCAAAGTGCTGGGATTACAGGCGCGAGCCACTGTGCCCAGCCTGTCTTGCTCACTTTCAAGTTGAAATTTTGCATTGGCTATGCCTGCTTGGTGGGGCCTAGGTCACATTGCTGTGCTACAAAGGGGGTCAAGGAGGCAAGTTTTCTCATAGGAAATGCCTCAGACTTTATAAGCGTGTTGAAAAGTGCTGGGTATTCAGAAAACATGTCACATGAACATGAGATAATGTGTTACCTCAGCATTAAGGCCTTCTCTGACAACCCCAGTACATTTTCCCCACAGCAGCCCCATCAGTCTTTTCCTGTACTCTGTCATTTTCTTCAAGGCACTTGTCACAACTTGTATTGTTATGTACTTAATTTGTTCAAATGTCTTATAAATTCTGGGGCCATAGAGTCTATGCGTGGAGTTTCAAATAAGTATATTTCAAACAGCCAAAAATAATTTTAAAATGTATTTTAGTCTTTAGCATGGGCCTCTTGAAAGAAAAAAGAATAAAAAAGGCTCCAAGTCACAGTTCCCAGCAGTTCCCGTAGTTTCTGTTTGTTGTTTTGTTTTGTTTTTTCTTATTTCCATGGCTGCTTTTGCAGTGTTTCCATAGTTTCAAATTCCCTCCTCTCTCTTCTTTAATTCTCCCCAATCCTTATGTGGATCTGTTTAGCTACTCTCCATAAACCTTTCCCTTAGAGCTCACCTTTCAAATGCTTTTCTGCCTGTTCTCTTATTTTGCATCACAAACATCCAGAACAGGTCTGAGAGGTACACTTTCTTAGGACACTGGGGAGAGAAGTGGAGAGGCAAAGTCTTTATCAGCCTGGAGGCTGGGGAAGATTTACACACTGATCAGTTTTCTGTACCACTTCTGATTGACCTACAGATTAGAAGTCTGAGGAGGACAGGGACAATATCTGTTCTATTTGTAACTCCCACAATCTGACAAATATGTAGTCAACATTTGTTTTCTGGAAAAAGAAAAGTCGAGCAATTGAGGTATGGGAAAAGAAGTATACAGCACAGAGCAAGGATTCTTGACATAGTGAAGGTGAAACCACCTTTGCAGAAATTATGACAGCCAATTATGACAGTGAAAGAGATCTGACCTAGCCAACTCCATCTCACTTCTAACCCCCAAGCTGTTCTTGTGCATTCCTGAGTGTAGGCGGAACTAACTTTGGGAGGAACTTAGTTTTACTTTGAAACAAAGATGACAACAGTCCTATCTCAGAACAAACCCCCTTCCTGCCTGGGGACCAGACTTTGTAGGACTAACAAATGAGCCACAACATTAGAAATTATAGTTTAGGAGTCATGCAGCTAGAGGCCACAAGATTCTAAGCCTCCCCAATTGCTCCTAGGGATAACATCACTATTATAAAACCTACGATTGGTGCTCAAGGTATTTTCAGACCCCTCCCTGGATGGATCAGCTGCTCCCACCCAGACTGATGGTCTTGTGGCTTCCACTCAGGAACTGACTCAGCACAAGAGGACAGCTTTGACTCCCCATTCCTGGGGGACCAGTCAGCACTCCCCACTACCTGCCCCCCATCCATGAGATTATCCTTAAAAACCCCAGTCTCCGAATTTTCAGGGAGACTGATCTGAGCAATAATAAAACGGCAGTCTCCTGTACAACCAGCTGTGTGAATTAAACTCTTTCTCTGTTACAATTCCTTTGTCTTGATAAATCGGCTCTATTTGGGCAGTGGGCAAAATGAACCTGATGGGCAGTTACTAAGGGTGAAGTGTGGGAGTAGGGTTACAGATTAAAGGATAGTTTAGGAAGGCATCCCAGAGGTGAGGCCAAAGCAGAATCTTGAAGGGCAAGAATTATCCAGGCAAAGAAGGTAAGGATAGAGAAGAGTATTCAGGCCAGGCATGGTGGCTCACGCCTGTAATCATAGCTCTTTGGGAGGCTGAGGTGGGCAGGTCACGAGCCTGGAAGTTTAAGACCAGCCTGGGCAACACGGTGAAACTCCATCTCTACAGAAAATACAAAAAAATTAGCCGGGCATGGTGTTGCATGCCTGTAGTCCCATCTACTTGGGAGGCAGAGGTGGAAGGATCACCTGAACCCAGGGAGGTCAAGGCTGCAGTGAGCTGTAATTGCGCCACTGGACTGCAGCCTGGGTGACAGAGTAAGACCCTATCTCAAAAAAAAGAGTATTCCAGATAGACATATAGCACAAGCTCAGACAAATATCAGATAGCTTGGGGTGGTGTTGCTAAATGCAAAGTAGAAATGTCAGGAGGTGAGGCCGGAAAGGTACAAGTGGCATGGAGGGCCTTGTATGGCACTCCATGAGGCTGGGCTTTTTCCTATGGGCTATGAAGCCACAGTGTGGGTGGGGTGGGAGTCATATTCAGATTTTCATTTGAGACGGATCATCAGGTGACACTGTAGAGGTTGGATTTCAAAGAGGCACAACTAAAAATAGGAAGAATAGTTGTAAGTTAAAAAATAATGTAGGCCTGAAACAGGACAGTAGTACTGAGGAGGGGTAAGTAGTAGGAATACTTTTAAAGAAATTATTTGGAGATCAAATTGGCAGTGCAGGGTGGGTTACTGGATAGGGAAGATGAGGGAGGAATCTAAAATAGTGTCCAAACTTTTGGCTCGGACAATGATGTCATTTAGGTAGAAAAAATTGAGGAGTAATAGGTTGGCAGTAGTGGGGAAGGTAGGAAGATTTCCAGTTCCGTATGGTGAAGTGGTTCTTAAAGTCCCTATGGGATTCCTGAATTTAGATGTTCAGCAGGTACTCAGATCAGCTTATGGCAAAGGCCAGGGTCAGAGATACAGACTTGAGGAGAGAGCAGCATGGGGGTGAGAGTGTGTTCAGAAGGGCTGTGGGAGTGCTCTGGGAGTGGCTGCTGTTCCGAGGCTGGCATTTGGCCCTGTTGACATTCTTTTCTCTTCCCACCTTCCTTGGTGTTTCTCTTACCTCTGATCATTCCTTCTCCAAATGCTTTACAGGCTCGTCTTCCTCTTCCCATAGAATGTGTTATTCCTGTGTGATTTCACCACCTGGGACCCCTACTGTGCCTCCATCAAACCTTTATCTCCAGCTCAGAATTCTTATATAAGATTGAGACGTATGTCTCCAACTGCTTTCTAAGAGAAAAGAGGTAGTCAGTAGCGTGGACTGATTATCCAGGGACCACACAAAGGGTTTGTACTTCACTGTCCTATTGTATTCAGGACTGGCACTGTGAATTGATCCTGGCTGTGACTATCTCTTGTTTTCTCTGAAAATACCAAATGTGGAAATCAGGAGTCAGATTTCAGACTTGTTAATAAGCATTATTAACACACACACCCCCACTATAATCCTTCTGTAACTTATTAACTTCCCCTTTATGCTTAGTGTATTGTTATCTTTTCATCAGGAACCAAAATTAACCCAAAATGGAAATAAAAATTTAAATCTTATTGATACAGAAGAAAAATTACTGTCCTGTTCATAAAAAAAGGAAAAATAGTTTACATGGATCCACCTTGTTTAAAACAAAAATCACAACTCGTTTTGTGAAAAAGAGGTGCTTTTTACTCTAGTATTCCTTGTTCTGGGATCACTTAATCACTATTTCGATGATGAAGGAACTCTGAACTCCTAAGCAAACCATGCCATGACATACTTTATATATATGCACAAAAGTTGGATAAAACACAAAACCAGCATTTTGACAAATTCACTTTAAAATGTTTTCCACATCAACTACTTAAAAGAAGTTACAGCAATATGATCTTCCACTGCTCAGGAAGACAGAGTGAACTTGGATATGATGAATATTAAAAACAAACATACAGAGCACCTGGGTCTGGACTTGTGGGCTAAAGAAATGCTTCCTGAATTTGTCCGAGGTGATGTGTTGAGCAACCGTGCCACAGTTCACCAGCAGTGACACTCTAGTTCTTCAGTATATTCCTGTTGTGAACCTATTTCTTTGAATTTAATCATCTGGGATGATTGCTGCAGTGTGAGTCTTTAGCATTTTGAAAATCCCACAGAAGAGATTAAGAAGGTTCCTCTTCCCAGAAGACACTCATATAAAGCATGCTTCTATAGGGTTAACTGTTCAGAAATTGTAAGGTGCATGGTCATCACCAGGTAAGCAGCTCTACAGGGGCCCATGGCCCATACTCATCCTTGCGTGCCCAGGGGAGCCAGCGTGCATATGAGCAGTAGGGAAGTGGCATAACAACGCAGAAGGGCTCAGGACAACTTGGCATTTTTGTTGTTGTTAAACTCAGGCTTATCAAGAGTCATAAGGACTCATCTCAGTTTGTATATACACCTTCAGACCCATACAGATAGATGCATAAGAATATGATCATTTCTGTTCTTCACAGAGTACTCAGAATTCTGACAAGAAACATCACAAGTTTATATAAATGCCCATTTGCATAGCAGCTTACAAATTCAATAGTTGTCAGAGGCTTGACGCGGTGGGTCATGCCTGTAATCTCAGCACTTTGGGAGGCCGAGGCGGGCAGATCACTTGAGGTCAGGAGTTTGAGATCAGCTTGGCCAACATGGCAAAACTCCGTCTCTACTAAAAATACAAAAATTACCTGGGTGTGGTGACGGGCGCCTGTAATCCCAGCTACTCAGGAGGCTGAGGCAGGAGAATCACTTGAATTCGGGAGGCAGAGTTTGCAGTGAGCTGAGATCATGCCACTGTACTCCAGCCTGGGTGACAATGAAACTCTGTCTCAAAAAAAAAGTTATCAGAGAATAGTAGATACTGTTTTAGCCATCAGTTTTCGCTGAGAGTACTTCTGACACCCATAGGAAATTGTAAAGGTTTTCTCCTCAAGTTGTAAATTCCTTTTATCCATTTATGACATTTTCTCTATCATATACTAAATTCTATCCATCCTCACATTGATTTATTACTGTCACCAAAATACATTCGAACTGTTTGTATACACACATATATAGGTGTATATGTATGTGTGTGTGTATATATATATTTATTTGGTTGAATCTTATGAAACTGCTAATTTTTTACCATTTTTGACCTATGAAAATAGTTTTTTTCATAGGGTTGAACCTAACAAAATCTGAACTTTAGCTAGCTGGCTATATCTCATATACTATGCAGTACTTTCTGCTTTACTTCAGCAGGAAGAATGAAAATGCTTACCCCATTCACCAGTTCTTATGCAGCCTTGCAAAACTGTGCTTGCAAACTGCTGGTGAATTTCATGAAAATACTTAGAGGTATAGTAATTTTCATATATTTAGCATTTAACTGAAAAAAAGGTCCAAACTGAGCATATTATCTTTGTAACTACATCACCCACTACTTAACTGGAACAGCCTACCTTATAAAGATGGCTTTTGCAGACTTAAGGCCAGGTCTAGAATCAATAGGCCAAACAATAAAATATCAAAACATTTTCAACTGGGATTCTGCTACCTCTGTGTCCTCCATAACACTCAATATTTAGAGTGCCCGAGACACTGCGCTAAGCACCAGTAAAAGAGAAACGCCCCAAAAACTTCAAGAAACTTACCATCTTTCAAGAAATATAAAAATATAAATAATAAGAGAATATTCTAAGAGTTTTAAGTTTCAAACTGGGACAGAGTAAAATGTAAAAAGACAGCACTTCAGAAGTTTTAAACTGACTTCAAACGTTAAGGAAAAAGGCAAATACAAATGTGCTTTGAGTCTAAATCCAGGTCAATATGATAATCAAATGTGCTCTCCTCCACAGTTCTGGCCCCAAGAAGTCCTCTTATCACCCCATAACAGTGACTAGAGATCCTCCAGGTCAGTTAAGTCCACGGCCACTTTCAAGAACAGAGTGTCATCTTTAATGTAGGCGTTCTTGGCATTCTCCAAAACAGAATGAGCCACAAAGCGGGGACAGCCAGATGCAATGTTCATCTCCCCATCAGGTCTTTTAAAGCTGCTGCTATTGGGGTCAGGTTTGAAGGTCTCCATAATGTTCTTTTTGCCACTCTGGTCCAGAAGCATCAGGGTCACCCTCTGCCTGAATGGCCACTGCAACAGTGAGTCAAACTCTCCTCGCATGACCACAAAGTATAGGGACAGGTGTGACCCCCTCCCTGACCCATCCCCATTCAGGTATGCTCTAGCACAGAGCCGGTAGCCACAGCGGCTGGTGTAGAAGGACTGGCTGAAGATGGACACTGTGTGCCCATCCACCGCCTCTCTCTTCTTCATCTTGTAATCTGTCACCTTCCAAATGAGCTTTCCATTATAGCAAGTACCCTCCAGCAGTTTAAATCGCTCTTCATTTTTACTCAGCTGTGCTTTATGAATATTAATGTGGGTATCATGTTTGTTAGTTTCCTCTTCTAAAACGGCTGCAAATAAGAAAAAAAAAAAAAAAAGATTCCATAGGCCTAAAAGTTATCTTTAAAATTTTCCCAAAGTGGAATTTTGTTACCTGAAAGAGAATCAACAAAATCCTGCCATCCTAAAGATGAGCTGAATTCATTTGTTGTAGTAATATTAACTCAGGGAATATCATGTCTTGGCACAGTGCCTCCAAGGAAACCTAGATGTGTACTCTTAAACTCACTGAAGTGTAGAGAAGACACACTGAGCATTCAACTAGCGTGAATCAGCATGCTGAGCCCCAAACTTTTCTAACTAGAATGCTTTTAAATGGCCAAACCCTTTAATATTTTTCCATACCTAAAACAATGATCCCATCACATCTCTCCCTGAGTCTTCTCATTATTTTTCATTCTTCTTTAAAGTCATCAATCCCTTTCTTGGAATTTGCTGGCCTGTTTCCAGTCTTGGAATTTCCTAGCCCAGTCCCTCAACCCCCCTTGTGGCCCTCCCTCATTTTTGCCTGAGTGGCCAGAATCTTACCATTCTCTTTCACAAATAGCAGATTCAGCCATTGTTTATCCTGGACAGATGTGACTCTCTATTTGGCCAGGTGTTTGGTTGTTTCATGAACACATGCAGACAAATGAGTCACCAAAAGAGAAATAAAATATCAGACATACCTAATCTTTGATCATTGTTTTCTAGCAGGGTAATTTTCTGTTTCACTGTATCAACTGCTTCCATCAAAGGTCTCAGGTCAAATTTATTTTGTTGCTGGTTAACCATTTGTAATAATTGATGCACTTGAGCTTCTAGCCAAGCTGACTTGTCAATGTGACTGGCAAAAACCTTTCATTACAAAATGGATAATCATGTTTAAAAAATTAGTTAATATTTTAGCAATTCATTGAGATTAAAATTTTTTTCAATTCAAACATATCACATTTAATCAATTAACAGAATGAAAAATACAAGCCCAGAAAATAAAATTCAATGAGGATCACAGAGAGATGAGCCACCTAATTATCTTCCTCCTCCTCCTCTCCTACCACAGCTCCTGTTCTAAATGTTTGAACTTTTCTTTATCTGATTTTTATCCTCCCTCTGTTTCCCTCTGCTTGGTTCTCCAACCTATCTTTATATATTTATTTTCATGTTGTTTCTCCTCTTGCCCTATCACTTCTTTCTCTTCTTAGAAGCCAATCTCCTGATTCACTCCTGCTCTGCTAGAAGGTGGAGAATGAAATGGAATACGCCCACCTGTTCTGGCCTGAGCTCTACAGGTGGTGCAGAAGGCCCTGAGTACGGCCTAAACTTTTGACTGCTCTCTCAGGTGGAAGAGACTAAATAAAACTACTCCTCCCTTTTCCTATGTGTGTACAATATAAGGTATGGCTACTCAAAGTACCCATTTTGTTTTTCACTTTCAGTATTTGATAAATTACATGTGGAATTCAATACTTTATTACAAAATAGGCTTTGTGTTAGATGACTGCCCAACTGTAGGCTAATGTAAGTGTTCTGAGCATGTTTAAGGTATGCTAGGCTAAGCTATGATGTTTAATAGGTTAGGTGTATCAAACACATTTTTGACTTACGATATTTTCAACTTAATGGGTTTATCAGGACATAACTCCATTGTAAGTCAAGGAGCATCTGTGCATATTAATGTATATACACATGTGCATATATACTTTATATATATTTCACATACATATACATTGTATGTATATGAAGGGTGTGTGTGTGTGTGTGTGTGTGTGTGTGTGTGTTTAATGTATAATGTGCTGGCCAAGTATGGAAATTATAGGGCCTAGATTTTCTGGGATAACTTAAATTTCAAATATATTGCCTACACCACATGTCTTGAAATCTTTTTCACTATAAATTTTATAATCATGATAAAGACATTATTCATCAGAATTCATTTATGGTTATTTAATGTTCATAATTTACAAAGTATTATTTTTGCTATATTTTAGTGATGTTTAAAGCATTTTCTTCCCAAGGAAATTAATAGTTTCACTTGTTGACCACAAAATGCAGAACTACAGATGCTCTCAATGAATCTGCAATCAAGTGATTAATATGGCCCAACATTAATTAAAACCCTAATTGCTATAAATTATATAGAAGCATTGTATCAATGTTAAAGTTACTGATATTGCTAAACGTACTGGGGTTGTGTAAAAGAAGATCTTTATTCTTAGGAAATACATACTGAAGTATTAATATGTAGAGGTAAAGGGCCATAATATACGCAGCGTACTCGCAAATGGTTTAGAGAGAGCACGTGCACACACATGCACACGCACACACACACACACATACACGTCGGGGGAGGAGCAGTGGAGGGGAGCATGAATGATGAAGCAAACGGGACAAAATGTTGGCCATGAGTGAATCAGGGTGGAGGTTATACAAGTGTTCTTTGCACCATCTTATTCTTACAGCTTTTCTGTATATTTTAAATTATTTCTATTTAAGAAGTTAAAAGAAAAACTCTCACTGCAATTGAAAGCCAAATCTTGGCTTTCAACGCAAAGGCCATTTCTTACCTGGATGTTTGGGAGGAAGCTTCCATTTTTGCCAAACAACTGTGCAAACTGCTTGAACTCCTTTTCAAGTTTCTTTATAGTTTCTGCTAGCTGCTGGATTTTACTTTCTTTCTGTTCTAGGCTCTTGTGTAAGTCAGAAATCTAATAACAGGAACGTGAGGAAAAATAAAGTCACTGAATATAACTGCATGCATATAGTTAAAATATGCATGCACTTGCAGCTAAGAAAGTATTTCTAGGAAAAAATCTACATATTTATTTCTAGGAAAATATTTACAGGGTAGATTCCTACATAATTATAGGAAGATATTCACAGGTGGTTCCAAAAAGCCACATCTACAGAATTTCTCATCAGCCTTTTCTATACCTAACCTACTATGATGGTTCACCTAATGACAGACATCACCTGACTGAATTTACTGAACTGGTTCTCTTCATTCATTCAACATGGACTTATTAAGCAACCACAGAAGCCAGGCCCCTGTAATCTCAGGTACCTGGGAAGCTGATGGGGAGGATCACTTGAGTCCAGGAGATTGAGTCTAGCCTGGGCAACATAGTGACACCTTGTCTCTTAAAACAAAATAAAACTACCACCAAAGAGTACTGATCACCATACCACATTAAATGTTACATGCACAGTAGCAAAAGTAATAATGACAAAAACTTGCTGACTGTCTATCATACCCTTATATTCATTAGCTCTTGTATGCCTCAAAGAACCCTATGAGTTGCACGAATATTAGACTCATTTTTCAGATGAGGAAACAGAGGTAGAGAGTTTAAGTAACCCATCCAGCATACAAGCCAGCAAGTGATAGGCAAAATGCGTGGGTAGCATATTGACAGATTTTATAATCTACTTGAAAGAAACAGATACCTAAAGCTGATCCTAGACAGCTCTTCTCTTATTCCCATATCCATTCAATCTGCAACAGTTGCCAATTTTAACTTTTAACATGACAACAGAAACAAAAAGACTTAAATCCATTTCTCATTTCAGCACTAGTTTCAGTCTTCATTATTTCTCTCTTGGGCTGCAACAGCAGCTTTCTAACTGGTCCTGCTCTACCCATTCTACCCCCAGCACACACCAGAACATAAGTTCCATGGGAGCTGGAACTGCCATGAACCTCACAGTCCACTATGACCCCAGCAACTGGACTGGTGCCTGGTACCAGTAGGTGCTTAATAAATATTTGTTAAATGAATGAACAGCATGAATGCTCTCCCTGGCTTTAGTCTTGTTCTCCTTCAATTTGTACTCCTTACTGTGACCAGAATAATATTAAGAGACAAATCTGGTCTTGAGCCTTCCCTGCATAAACATTTCTAGTGGCTTGCTTTTACAGGTGACACTGGGCCCTACGTGACCTGCCCCTGGCTACACTTTCAGCCTCAAACCCATTCACATTCCACATGCATCCTGCCCAGCAAGACCACACAACTCCTATTTTGTCAGGCTCTGCCCTCTCAGACACCTCTCTCTTCATCTAAAAACTACCACTTTTTAAGCCTCCACTCATGGGTACATCCTCTTGGAAATATTTCCTTACTTGCACCACCCGCCGAGACCACCTCTCAAGTTCCATGATACCCTGTCCATATTCTAGTGTATAAATCATCATTATCATGCTTATAACTTGCTTTTTGTTGTTGTTTTGGTCTTCTCCATTAAATTGTATCTTGAGACTACATCTCATTTATTTCTTTATCCTTAGAGCCTAGGACAGTGCCTGGCACAGAGAGGGCATTTGATACATATTTTATGAATGAATGCACAAATGGCTGAGACAATCATTTGATCTCTGGCCCTGGAATCCTTTATTTAGACCCCTAGAGCTGACTTCCACCTACCTGCCTGACCAAAAGCAAACTCCTTGTCTCTCTCTGCACCCTCACCTCTAACATGCTCCAGTTTTGTAGTGCCCATCTTGGTTAATATCATTACCATGTCCCCTCCCTACTCAGCTTTCTGCATGTCATTTACAACCTCAGAAGGCCTCTTGATACTCTCTCTCTTTCCAGTCCACTGACATGGACTTGGTTGAGCCTTCACCATCACCACCACCACCTCCAGCATCTTGCTTCCACCTACTATTGAAGTACTTATTATGTGTTAGGCATTGTACTACTAGCTTAACTATATTATCCCTTTTTACCATCACCACAACCCCATTTACAAATGAGGAAACTGGGGATGACAGAAATGAGGTAGTTTGTCCAAACTCATATGGCTAGTGTGCAGCCTGGCTGCAAACCCAAGCATTCTGGCTCCAGAGCCTTCACTCTTATCAATTGCCATGCTATTACCAACTGTCTTGCTTTAAAAAAGAAAAACAAACAAACCGCTTTGGGCGGCTGAGGCAGGCAGATGGCTTGAGCTCATGAGACCAGCCTGGACAACATGGCAAAACCCTGTCTCTACAAAAAAAATACAAAAATTAGCCGAGTGTGGTGGTGCACACCTATAGTCCCAGCTACTCAAGAGGCTGAGGTAGGAGAATCTCTTGAGCCTAGGAGGCAGAGATTACAGACAGTCCAGATCGTACCAGTGTACTCCAGCCTGGGTGACAGGGCCAGACCCTATCTCAACAAACAAACAAACAAACAAACAAACAAACAATTAGCTGACCAAGTGTTTTCCAATTAAGAAACCTCCATTAGCTCCCTATTATTGAAAAAAACATTAGTTCAAACTTCTGGCCCTTAAAACCTTTCTGAAACAAGGCAGAGTATAAATGATAAAAAAATAATTGAATGCAGTGTTCAAAACTTCTTAGGCTACACGGAAGGCCACTGCAATCTGGATCCAACACACCAGTCTCTAGCCTTTCTCTATCTCACACTCAGAAGTCCATTCATCCTAAAACCCCATTTCCTTGACTCATCAGGATTTCTTATGCCTCCCTGCTTCAGTGCAAGCTCTCCCTTTTGGATGTCCTTCTTCCACAACATTTTAACTGATGAATCTTTCCTACTTCAAGAGGCAGCTTGGATGTCTTACCTTGAAAGTCTTCCCCAACTCCCCTAGAATAAACTGCTGCAGTCTCTGTACCCCAGACTGAGTTACAGCATGTCCTACAAGGCATGACAACTTACCTGTTTACATTTATGTTAGTTCTTCAAGGGTAGAGGCTACATCTTCCTTGGCTCAGTGTCCCTAGCAGCAAACATTGTACCTGAC